>NC_000017.11:7157777-7309292 GCF_000001405.40 Homo sapiens
TGGGGTACAAGTGGCTTTTGGTTACATTGATGAACTGAATAGTGGTGAAGTCTGAGATTTCAGTGCACCTGTCACCTGGGTAGTGTACGTTGTACTCAATATGTAGTGTTTAATTCCACACCCCTGCTTTTATCCACCACCCCACTCAGCCCTTCTGAGTCTCCAAAGTCCATCATAGCTCTCTGTATGCCTTTGCGTATTCATAGCTCAGCTCCCACTTATGAGTGAGAACATACGGTATTTGGTTTTCCATTGCTGAGTTACTTCACTTAGAATAATGGCCTCCAGCACCATCCAAGTTGCTGCAAAATACATTATGTTGTTCCTTTTTATGGCTGGGTAGTATTCCGTGGTGTATATATACCACATTTCTTTATTTCTTTTTTTTTTTTTTTTTTTTTTGAGATAGAGTCTTGTTCTGTCGCCCAGGCTGGAGTGTAGTGGTGCAACTCGGCTCACTGCAACCTCCGCCTCCCAAGTTCAAGCGATTCTCCTGCTTCAGTCTCCCAAGTAGCTGGGACTATAGGTGCACACTACCAAGCCCAGCAAATTTTTGTATTTTTAGTAGAGAGGAGGTTTCGCCACGTTGGCCAGGCTGGTCTTGAACTCCTGACCTCGAGTGATCCACCCGCCTCAGACTGCCAAAGTGCTGGGATTACAGGCATGAGCCACCACGCCCCTACACCACATTTTCTTTATCTACTTATTGCTTGATGGGCATGTAGGTTGGTTCTATATCTTTGCAATTGTGAATTGGCCCACAATAAACATATGCATGATGCATGTGTCTTTTTCTTTCTTTTCTTTTCTTCTCTTTTTTTTGAGACGGAGTTTCGCTCTTGTTGCTCAGGCTGGAGTGCAATGGCGCAATCTCCGCTCACCGCAACCTCCGCCTCCTGGGTTGAAGCAATTCTCCTGTCTCAGCCTCCCAAGTAGCTGGGATTACAGGCACGTGCCACCACACCCAGCCAATTTTGTATTTTTAGTAGAGACGGGGTTTCTCCATGTTGGTGAGGCTGGTCTTGAACTTCCGACCTCAGGTGATCCACCCACCTCGGCCTCCCAAAGTGCTGGGATTACAGGCATGAGCCACTGCGCCCAGGCCATGTGTCTTTTTCATATAACTTCTTCCCTTCTTTATTAATTAAGCTGGTTCTCACTGAATTTCTGTCACTTACAGCCAAGACACCCTCAACTAATTCCCTGGATCCGTTTCTGGAGTCTATTCCATGTCACTGACTCCTCTCTCCATCCCTATGCCAGTGCCAAGTGTGTTTTAATTATGTAGATCTATTGTGGGGAAAAGAAAGAGAGATCAGATTGTTACTGTGTCTATGTAGAAAAAGGAGGACATTAGAAACTCCATTTTGATCTGTACTAAGAAAAGTTGTTCGGCTTTGAGATGCTGTGAATCTGTAACTCTTGTCTCAACCCTGTGCTCACAAAAACAATCCCTTAAACTCAAAGTTTAAGGGATTTAGGGCTGTGCAGGATGCACTTTGTTAAAAATGTGTTTGCAGGCTGTATGCTTTGTGAAAGTCATTGCCATTCTCCACTCTCTATTAACCAGAGACACAATGCACCGCGGAAGGCTGCAGGGACCCCTGCCCAAGAAAGCCTGAGTATCGTCCAGGTTTCCCCCCACGGAGATAGCCTGAGATATGGCCTCCTGGGAAAGGAAAGACCTTACATCCCCCAGCCCGACACCCGTAAAGGGTCTGTGCTGAGGAGGAGTAGTGAAAGAGGAAGGCCTCTATGAGGTTAAGAGGAAAGCATCTGTCTCCTGCACGTCCCTGGGAATGGAATGACTCGGTGTAAAACCGAGCATACATTCTATTCTGAGATAGGAGAAAACCGCCTTATGGCTGGAGGCGAGACATCATGGTGGCAGTACTGCTCTGTTACTCTTTACTGCTCTGAGATGTTCATGTAAAGTTAAATATAAATGTAGCCTACGTGCACATCCAGGCACAGCACCTTTCCTTAAACTTATTTATGACACAGAGTCTTTTGTTCACGTGTTTTCCTACTGACCCTCTCCCCACCATCACCCTATAGTCACACCGCATTCCCCTCGCCGAGATAGTAAAGATAGTGATCAATAAATACTGAGGGAACTCAGAGACCAGCGCAGGTGCAGGTCTTCACTTGCTGAGTGCCAGTCCCCTGGGCCCACTTTTCTTCCTCTATACTTTGTCTCTGTGTCTTATTTCTTTTCTCAGTCTCTCATCTCCACCTTGGGAGAAATACTCACAGGTGTGGAGGGGTAGGCCCCCTTCAACCTATGATATATTTTAACATCTGATAGGACAAGTCCCCTTATTATTGTTCTTTTAAATTTTTTCTGCTGGCTACTCTCACATGTTTAGTCTTCTAGATGAATTTAGGCTCATTTTGTCCAATTGCAAAAATACATTGCCCAGGAATTTTCATTTGCATAACCTTGAATTTATAGCTCAATCTAGGGAAACTTGACATCATAGCAATATGGAGACGTCATAGTCAAGTTGACTATATGAAGTATTTTTATGGCCTTCATTATAGTTGTTTTTTTGTTTTGTTTTTTTTTTTTGAGATGGAGTCTCGCTCTGTCGCCCAGGCTGGAGTGCAGTGGCGCCATCACTGCAAGCTCCGCCTCCCGGATTCGTGCCATTCTCCTGCCTCAGCCTCCCGAGTAGCTGGGACTACAGGCGCCCGCCACCACGCCTGGCTATTTTTTAAAATATTTTTAGTAGAGATGGGGTTTCACCGTGTTAGCCAGGATGGTCTCGATCTCCTGACCTCGTGATCCGCCCGCCTCGGCCTTCTAAAGTGCTGGGATTACAGGCGTGAGCCACCGCGCCCGGCCCATTAGAGTGTTATGGTTGTTCTCATCCACATCTCACACGTTTCTTCAGTTCATTCTTGGGTGTTTTATGGTTTGGTTGCTATTGTGCATTCCCAGATTCTTACTGGAGATTGGGTGTGGGGTCTTACAGTAGGCACCTCTGGTGTCCCACGTTGCACCCCCTTGACCCGCTGATTTCAGCCACAACAAAAGTAGACAGTTCCATCAGAACTCAACCAGGTCCTTGTGCTGAAAATACCCCTCCTCAAGCATGAGCCACACTCTCTGCCCCAGGGCTTTCTCTAGCACCAATAGAAGCTTGCTCAGCCAATACAGCACAGCTCAGACCTGCTGGGGAGTTCATGCCCACGGGGAATGGAAGCTGGTGGGTAAATCCTCCAGCCACCCCTCCTTCAGATCAACCATTCTGTATGCTTGGAGATGCTGGTGAGCCCCATCACCCAAAATGTGCAGCAGCCTTGACAATGCACCCCGATTGGGCTTGCCTCCTTCCCCGTCTCACTCCCTCCTCTTTTTCACTCCTGCTTTCTGGGATCAGCTCCCAAGAAAACTATCTTCCTCAAGTCCTTCTCTCAGGCTCTGCTTTTGGGAGACACCCAAACTAAGGCAGACCTCCTATGGGATTCTGGCTCATAGTGAGGCAATTGAGTTTTATAGGAGAATCACTTGAACCAGTTGGTTTCCCCATTGCCAAGAAATATCACACTCACTCTACATAGCTGTTGAGCAGAGCTGGGACCAGTCTGGCCTGGAGTAGACACACACCGCCCCCCCCACCCCACACACACACACACACGGGTCCTGCTGTAACCCTGCATTCTTCAGCCTTAGGTGTGGAACCTCTCTCTAATACCTCTAAGAAGCTTGTAACTCCTTCAAAGTACTGCAGTGTCCCCCTATCTGCCTCACCACAAATTCAGACTCCTCCCTTTATCCCCCAAGCACAGTTAACTTGAAGCAATAAAGAAGAAGATTCGGGCCAGGCCCAGTGGTTCGCACCTGTAATTCCAGAACTTTGGGAGGCCAAGGCGGGCGGATCACCTGAGGTCAGGAGTTCAAGACCAGCCTGGCCAACACGGTGAAACCGTGTCTCTACTAAAAATACAAAAAATTAGCCAGGCGTGGTGGCAGGCGCCTGTAATCCCAGCCACTCGGGAGGCTGAGGCAGGAGAATTGCTTGAACCTGGGAGGCGGAGGTTGCAGTGAGCCGAGATTGAGCCACTGCACTCCAGCCTGGGCGACAGAGTGGAACTCCATCTCAAAAAAAAAAAAAAAAAAAATTCTTACACATGACCTCCCAACTATTTCTACAAATTTGCATCATACACTCAAGACTCAATGTTCTGGGAGAGATTGCCAGGTGGGTGATACCCATGGCACATGCCACCCCCCTCCTGCTACACTGGGGGGTGGGGGAGAGATGAAGAATTCGGTTCTGTGGCTACTGGTGCCCCCTGAAGTATGCACATTATAAGGGGCTCTCTAAAATACAAATCATGAATGTTTACTATAATATTCTTTGCCCATTTCTCCAATGGGTTGTTGTTGTTTTTTTCTTGTCATTGTGTAGGGGTTCTTTATAGTCTGGATATTAATTAACTGTTATAAATATTGCAAATATTTCATCTAAGTCTATTGCTTTTTTTTTTTTTTTTTTTTAGACAGGGTCTCACTCTGTTGCCCAGGCTGGAGTGCAGTGGTGCAATCACGGCTCACTGCAGCTTTGACATTTCTTGGCTCAGGTGATCCTCCCACCTCAGCCTCCAGAGTAGCTGGGACTACAAGCACACGCCACCACGCCCAACTAATTTTTGTATTTCTTGCAGAGACAGGGTTGTTGCCCAGGCTGGTCTCGAACTCCTGAGCTCAAGTGATCTCCCTGCCTCAGCCTCCCAAAGTACTAGGATTACAGGCGTGAGCCACTGCACCTGGCCCCTCTTTTTTTTGTTTCTTACCATTTTTTTTCGTTGTTGAAGAAAGCATAAGTTGGCTGTAAAATCTTCCGCCTTCTGGATCTGACGGCATGCATGCCTGTGTGGATGTTCCCCTCCCACTGCATTTCCAATAAGCTGGTAGTTACTGCTAACCAGATTCAGTTCAAGGTTCTCTGACAACAACGTCGCGCAGGCGGTGCTGTGGCGTCCCTACCGCATCACAATAGTAAGTACATAGTGTCCGCAAATGTACAAAAACTGACCTCCTCCTTCCTCATCTTTTTATTCTGATTTTCTTCTCAGGATCGACCTTCAGAACTACTGTGACAATGAGTTCCTTCTCTTGATCCTGTGTTTAGTGGAAATATTTATCATCTCTCTCCATTAAGGGTGATGTCAGGTGTGGGAGTTGAGATGCACCTATGCGTTGCTCCTGCTGGACAGTGGTGAGGTGTGACTTGCTCCCATCCTCAGTTCCAGGCGCGCTCTCGGCCTCCATATGTTCAAGGCCCTTCCTTATTTTCATGTTTCCTCTTCATCCTCATTGCACCCTTGAATTCCCCTCCCTTCCTTAAGAACCCACTTGAGGCCAGGCACAGTGACTCATGCCTGTAATCTCAGCACATTAGGAGGCCAAGGTGGGAGGATCACCTGAGGTCAGGAGTTCGAGACCAGCCTGGACAACATGGCAAAACCCCATCCCTACTAAAAATACAAAATTAGCCGGGCGTGGTGGCAGGCACCTGTAAACCCAGCTACTCAGAAGGCTGAGGCAGGAGAATCACTTGAATCCAGGAGGCAGAGGTTGCAGTGAGCCAAGATCACGCCATTGCACTCCAGCCTGGGCAACAAGAGTAAAACTCTGTCTCAAAAAAAAAAAAAAAAAAAAAAAAAATCCATTTGAATAGGTTTGATGTATGTCCTTGAAAATAGCTGGATCCTGGAAAATTACAAAGTGGAGTTGTGTGCATAGGCTTTTGACATTAATCAATGTTGTCGTGTTCTAAACTGCATTCTGTTTTCTACTTCTCATTTAATGCTGATATTAGGTCTATTCATGTTGTTCTGTGTATATCTAGTCACTGTTTTTTGTTTTTGTTTTTTTTCGAGACGGAGTCTCACTCACTCTGTCACCCAGGCTGGAGTGCTCTGCCTCAGGCTTCCAAATAGCTAGGACTACAGGCTCCTGCCACCATGCCCGGCTGATTTTTTGTATTTTTAGTAGAGACGGGGTTTCCCCATATTGGTGAGGCTGGTCTCGAACTCCCAACCTCAGGTGATCCGCCTGCCTTGGCCTCCCAAAGTGCTGGGATTACAGGCGAGTCCTAAATGCTGGATAGTAGCCCATCAGACATGTTTCCCGCATTCTGCTCTCAGTAGGCACCCAGGCTGCCTCCAGCTCCTTGCTACCCAAACAGCACTGCAGTGAACATCTTCACAGTGCCCCATAATGGACCTGTCAGAGATTCTCTCTGGTGTATGTATCTGGAAGTAGGATTTTCAGGGATCATCTTTTTTTTTTTTTCGAGACGGAGTTTCACTCTTGTCACCCAGACTGGAGTGCAATGGCACAATCTTGGCTCACTGCAATCTCTGCTTCCTGGGTTCAAGCGATTCTCCTGTCTCAGCCTCCCAAGTGGCAAGGATTACAGGTGCCCGCCCCCAAGTCCAGCTAATTTTTGTTGTTACTGTTGTATTTTTAGTAGAGACGGGGTTTCACTGTGTTGACCAGGCTGGTCTAGAACTCTTGACCTGAAGTGATCCACCCACCTCGGCCTCCCAAAGTGCTGGGATTACAGGCATGAGCCACCATGCCCGGCCGATAATATGCATTTTTTTTTTTTTTTAGACAAAGTCTCCCTCTGTTGCCCAGGCTGGAGTGCAATGGCTCGATCTCGGCTCACTGCAACCTCCACCTCCCGAATTCAAGCGATTCTACTGCCTCAGCCTCCTGAGTAGCTGGGATTACAGGCGCACGCCACCATGCCCGGCTTATTTTGGTATTTTTAGTAGAGACAGGATTTCATCATGTTGGTCAGGCTGGTCTCGAACTCCTGACCTCATGATTCACCCGCCTCGGCCTCCCAAAGTGCTGGGATTACAGGCGTGAGCCATCGTGCCCGTCCTGATACTATGTATTCTTAATTCCAGTAAATATCTTGCAGAATGGCTATTCCAATTTATCCTCCCATCAGCAGCTTCTCCCACAACCTTGGCAGCAATTGACTTCCTCTTAATGTTTGTCAATTGGATGGGTGTAAACAGATGGCTCACTCGTGTTTGATTTCTCTAGTTAGTCACTAGTGATTGTAAACATGTCTTCATATGCACATTAGAACCCCAGGCTTCCTCATCTGTGAACTGCTTGTTTATACCTGATGCCACTTTTCCAATAGGTTTCCTGTGTATTTCTTCATCTTGGTCTCCTTCTGTGTTGAATGTCTTCCATTTGTCCTTCCAGATCCACACTCTATCCTTCTCCATGTTGTTCTGTGGCCTGGGAGGCTGAGCTGTATGACTGCATCAAATCGCTCCCTTGCCATCTGGCTTCCAGCCCTCTTCCAGGAAGAGAGGGAAGTGAGGATATTAACTCCCCGGCCCCTCCCTGTAGAGTGGCTGTGGGTTAGCTGCCCCCTGCAACTGAGTATCACAGCTCCTGTTGGGAGGCCCTCTCCCTGCGGTCCTGGAGGTGGTAACAGCTCCCCACTCTGGGATGCCTAGGTTCTTGCTCCATCTTGTGGCTTCCCTAAGCCTGTTCACACCTTTGCAGAGAGTCCCTATATTATGAAATCTTGCACTTACCCATTTTTGGGTGTGCCATCTGTTGCTTGCTGGGAGCCTACCTGATACATTGCTGTTGAACTGAAATTTATCATTTTCATGCAATTTCACAAATTTTTTTTGGCTTTTTGGAATGTGCTTCGGAGGCCTTATTTAACAAGCTCTTCAGCCGGGCGCGATGGCTCACACCTGTAATCCCAGCACTTTGGGAGGCCAAGGTGGGTGGATCATGAGGTCAGGAGATGGAGACCAGCCTGGCCAACAGGGTGAAACCCCGTCTCTACTAAAATTCGAAAAATTAGCTGGGCGTGGTGGCGCATGCCTGTATTCCCAGCTACTCAGGAGGCTAAGAAGGGGAATTGCTTGAACCTGGGAGGCAGAGGTTGCAGTGAGCCAAGATCACGCCACTGCTCTCCAGCCTGACGACAGAGCAAGACTCTGTCTCAAAAAAAAAAAAAAGAAGAAGAAGAAACCCTTCTATACTCTTAGTAGTATAGATTTTTCTTTCTTTCTTTTTTCCTACTAGTTCTGTAATTTTATGTTATATGTTTAGGTCTTCAATCTATCCAACATCCACCTTTGCCTGTGATGTTAGGTATGAATCCAGTTTTACTTATCTTCATAGAGTGAGCCAGTTTTCCCAATAATGTCTTTCTTCTACCAATTTGAGATGTTACCTTTATTGTATATTAAGTTCCCATGTAGGCACAGTTCTGTCTCTCGGCTCTTTATTCTATAACATTGGTTTATCCGTCTATTCTTGTATCATTACTGTGCTATTTTTATTACTATGGCTTTGTAATATATTTTAAAGTCTAATAAGGCTAGTTCCCCCTTCCTCCAATTTCTCCTTTTTTTCCCATATTGACTTTTATCTTGCCACATATATTTTTTTTAAAGTTGTTGCATTGCTTTTAAAAATCCAATTGAGGTCGGGCGCAGTGGCTCACTCCTCTAATCCCAGCACTTTGGGAGTTTGAGGCAGGTGGATCACTTGAGGTCAGGAGTTCAAGACCAGTCTGGCCAACACGGTGAAACCCCATCTCTACTAAAAATACAAAAATTAGCTGGACGTGGTGGCGGGCACCTGTACTCCCAGCTACTTGAGAGGCTGAGGCAGGAGAATCGCTTGAACCTGGAGGCGGAGGTTGCAGTGAGGTGAGATTACACCATTGTACTCCCACCTGGGTGACAGAGGGAGAATCCATCTCAAAAAGAAAATCAATTGAAATTTTATTTTTATTGCGTTGAATGTATATGTTAATTTGGAAAGAATTTAAGTTTCTTCTTGTATGTTCTTCATGTGTTATTGTGGTGATAGACTAATACACCTGCCGAAGCCTCTTATTAGGTCGAATTGTTTGTTTGTTTGTTGATGGTGTTGATTTTCTGTATAGGTGAGCATATTGTTTTATCTCTTCCTTTCCAATTCTTACAACTTTTAATGTCTTTTTCTGTCTTGTGCAGTTTGGCTACCATGCCCAGGATGATGCTGAACAGCAATAATAGCACTATAACGGAGGCTTCTAATTACCCCTAATACCAATTATCCCCTTCTTGCTACACCAGAGGTCCAGAAACATCTCCTATAAAGGGCCAGATAGCAAGTATTTTAGGCTTACCAGGTCATACAGTCTTTATCATAACTACTCAATTCTGCTGTTGCTGTGGTCATAAATGACATGTAAACAAACAGGCATGGCTGTGTTCCGATAAAACTTTATTTACAGGCCGGGATCCGTGGCTCATTCCTGTAACCCAGCACTTTGGAGGCGAAGGCGGGTAGATCACTTGAGCACAGGAGTTCAAGACCAGCCTGAGCAACATGGTGAAACCCCGTCTCTACAAAAAAATACAAAAATTAGCAGGGTATGGTGGCTTGCGCCTGTAATCCCAGCTACTTGGGAGGCTGAGGCAAGAGGATCACTTGAGCCTGGAAGGCAGAGGCTGCAGTGAGTCAAGATCCAGAGGCTGCAGTGAGTCAAGATCACGCCGCTGCACTCCAGCCTGGGCGACAGAGCCAGACCTTGTTGCAAAAAAAAAAAAAAAAAAAAAAAAAAAAAACTGGCCAGGTGTGGTGGCTCACACCTGTAATCCCAACACTTTGGGAGGCTGAGATGGGCAGATCACCTGAGGCCAGGAGTTCGAGAACAGTCTGGCGAACATGGTGAAACCCCGTCTGTACTAAAAAAAAAAAAAAAAGAAAAAATACAAAACATTAGCCGGGCATAGTGGTGCACGTCTGTAATCCCAGCTACTTGGGAGGCTGAGGCACGAGAACTGCTTGAACCTGAGAGGTAGAGGTTACAGTGAGCCGAGATTGTGCCATTGCACTTCAACCTGGGCAACGGAGAGAGACTCCGTCTCAGAAAAAAAAAAAAAAATAGAAAAAGAAAGCTTTATTTACAGAAGCAGGTGAGGGCCAAAGTTTACTGACTCCTTCTCTACAAAATAGAATCCTGTGTTTTTAGCAAGAATGTGGCCTCATGGAATAAAGTTCATTTCTCAGCCCCATTTGCAGCTATCTGTGGCCCTGGGACTAATTCTGATCAAAGAGATATAAAGTGAAGTGATGGAAGTGTCTGCATAGACAGAGAGAGAATGCGCCATTCTCCTTCCCTTTTCCCCTTTCTCTTGTCCGGAATGTGTCATAACAGGAGGGGCAGACATCTTGGAACATGTGATGGAAGCCACAGATTGAAACGATGGAGCAACAACGTAGAAACAGCTAGAGTCCAGAAAGATTTCATCATAAATCAGAGCTGAACTTTTGCTGAGTGTTTTTTCTGCATTGTGTAATTGTTTTCTTTTGTACACATTTAATCTATTTTTCTGTACTCTCTAAATCTATTATATTAACAGATTTTTCTTATGTTAAATCATCTTTGAATTCTTGGCATCTATACTACTTGAACATGTTACCTTTTTTATTTTTTATTTTTTGTTTTTTGTTTTTGTTCTTGTTTTTTGTTTTTGAGATGAGTCTGGCTCTATCGCCCAGGCTGGAGTGCAGTGGCGCGATCTCGGCTCACTGCAAGCTCTGCCTCCCGGGTTCACGCCATTCTCCTGCCTCAGCCTCCTGAGTAGCTGGGACTACAGGCACCCGCCACCACACCCGGCTAATTTTTTGTATTTTTAGTAGAGACGGGGTTTCACCATGTTAGCCAGGATGGTCTCAATCTCCTGACCTCATTATCTTCCCACCTCGGCCTCTCAAAGTGCTGGGATTACAGGCGTGAGCCACCACACCTGGCCATGTTATCTTTTTTAATGCTGCATTTGATTTGATAGGCTAATATCTGATAAAAGAATTTTAGGCCGGGCATGGTGTCTCGTGCCTGTAATCCCAATACTTGAGGGCGGATCCAAGCAGGCGGATCACTTGAGGCCAGGAGTTCGAGACCAGCTTGGCCAACATGGCAAAACCCCATCTCTACTAAAAACACAAAAATTGGCTGAGCATGGTGGCTCATGCCTGCATTCCCAGCACTTTGGGAGGCCGAGGCGGGTGGATCATAAGGTCAGGAGTTCAAGACCAGTGTAGGGAGACCCCCTAAAACTATTGCTATGGAATAAAGATGAAATGCTCCTAATTATTGTAAATACAAAATTGCATGCAGAATTGTGTAAAGACAATGCCAGGTTGGGCTGCCAGAATGAGCCAACAGCGCATGATGTGCTTCCCCCTGCAGAAAGCCTATAAACGGACATGCAGTCAGGGAGGTTTCATATCTCCCAGATTCCTATCCCAGAAAAGCAGATGTTCATAGCTCTGGGAGTGGAATGCGACCCTTGTGGAGAGCCTATAAACGGACGCATGAAGGGCACCTGTTCATATGGATAAGGTAGGGTTATAAATGCCCTTATCTTGCCACGGCTCTTCTAGGCCTCTTTAGGGTTAAGGCATACTCCCTTCTGAGAATTTTTGGTCTAACTGGTTGTCTAGCTTCACATCCTGTTTCTATGGATTGTTTGTAACCAGCTTTTGCTGCAACTGTTACTGCTGATTAATATCTTGCTAATCATAGGTTAGGGATAGACTGTGTTTCTGTTTTAAGGCTCTGTTAGAAATTGCTGACGCACACACTATATTGTATATTCTTATCTCTGTACACTGTACTTCTGCATACTGATGTTATGTTAAAGAATTACTTCATCCCCAATGTGACCATCTCACCTCATAATCAAACGACCCTAAATCCCTCACTAACCTACCCCCACCCTCACTAAACTTCATAACAAATGCTGGTATATCCAGTGCATTGGCGGCATCACAGGACCAAAAGGCGGTGACGCCCCTGGACCCAGCTTTCACTATCTTGTGTGTGTCTTTTATTTCTCAACCTGCCAATCCACCTGGGAACAAAGAAAGAGCCATTGCGGGCTGCATTGCAATGCGTTGCAACTGCGGGCTGCTGGCCAGATCCCGCAATAGACCAGCCTGGCCAACATAGTGAAACCCTGTCTCTACTAAAAATACAAAAAATTAACCAGGCTTGGTGGTGGGCACCTGTAATCCTAGCTACTTGGGAGGCTGAGGCAGGAGAATCACTTGAACTTGGGAGGCAGAGGTGCAGCGAGCCGAGATTGCACCACTGCACATCAGCCCAGGTGACAGTGTGAGACTCTGTCTCAAAAAATAATAACAATAATAATAATAATAATTAGCCGGGCATGATGGTGTGTACCTGTAATCCCAGCTACTCAGAAAGCTGAGGCACAAGAATTGCTTGAACCTGGGAGACAGAAGTTGCAGTGAGCTGAGATCACACCACTGCACTCCAGCCTGGGCAGCAGAACAAGACTCTGTCTCAATTAAAAAAAAAAAAAGAATTTTACATTCCTGGTCATTATAATGAAAAGCCTCCATTTGGAAATTGTTAAAGCTTGATTAATGGCCCAGTATTTGCTCAATTTTTTGAGAATGTCTCAGTATACTTGAAAAGAACAGGTATTCCACTGGGTATGGGGGCTTATGGCTGTAATTCCAGCTGCTCGGGAGGCTAAAGCAGGAAAATTGCTTGAGTCCAGGAGTTTGAGACCTGCCTGGGCCACATAGCAAGACCCTTATCTCAAAAATAAAAGGGGGGGTATTTTGTATTTGATGAGTACAGTGTACTAAATGTGTCCATTAGATCATAATAGTTCGATCTGGGATTCAAAACATCTGTATCCTTATTGTTTTGTCTGCTTGATCTATCAATTAGTGAGATATTTTATAATCTATTATGAATGTAAACTTGTCTGTTTTCTTATACCTCTAAAATTTTTGTTTCACGTATTTTGTGGCTATGTTATTCAGTGCATGCATATTTAGTACTAGTGTATCTTCCTGTTGAATTGAACCTTTTATCATTAGGAAGTGATCCTCTTTATCTCTAATAATACTTTTTGTTATAAACTATACTTCATGGCTGGGTGTGGTGGCTCATGCCTGTAATCCCAGCACTTAGGGAGGCCAAGGCGGGTGGATCATGAGATCAGGAGTTCAAGACCAGACTGCCCAAGATGGTGAAACCCCGTCTCTACTAAAAATACAAAAATTAGCCAGGCATGGTGGCGGGCATCTGTAATCCCAGCTACTCGGCAGGCTGAGGCAGAGAATTGCTTGAACCCGGGAGGCAGAGGTTGCAGTGAGCCGAGATGGTGCCACTGCACTGCAGCCTGGGTGACAGAGTGAGACTCCATCTCAAAAAATATATATAAAAAATAAAAATAATAAAAATAAAATAAAACAAAGTGTACTTCATATGATAGTCATTTGGTTGGAATTTGACCAATGTGTCTTTCATCATTTTGCTTCCAGCCTGTTTCAGATGTGGCTCTTGGGCATATAGTTGGATTTTATTTTTTATTCTGTCTGGAAAGTTTTTTTGTCTTTTAACAAGATAACTTGGTATTTTGCATTTAATAAAATCCGCAACATATGTGGATTCATAACCAACCTTTTGTGTTTTTTCTTATCTACCTCTTCTGGGTTTTTTTCTCCTTTATTCTCTTCCTTTAGTTTAATTTTTTTCTTCGTTTTTCCTGCTTATAAGTTTGAAAGTTATAACCCAGCTTCTAAGAGATTTGCCTAAAAATTACAATAATGGCAGGAAAAACACTGTATTTGCTTTACTGTTTTAAATCAGGAAGTGTTATGTAATTATATCCCCTATGTCTCTACTTACGTAATCTTTCTCCTTTCTAAAGTTATGTCTGTGTCTCCTTTTTTTCTCCTTCATTTTTATTTTATTTGCCTTTTTTTTTTTTTTTTTTTTTGAGACAGAGTCTTGCTCTGTCACCCTGTCACCCAGGCCGGAGTGCAGTGGCGAAATCTCGGCCCACTGCAACCTCCACCTCCCTAGTTCAAGCAATTCTCCTGCCTCAGCCTCCTGAATGGTTGGGATTACAGGCGCCCACCACCACACCTGGCTAATTTTTTTGTATTTTTAGTAGAGATGGAGTTTCACCATGTTGGTCAGACTGGTCATGAACTCCTGACCTCAGGAAATCTGCCCATCTCAGCCTCCCAAAGTGCTGAGATTACAAGTGTGAGCCACCATGCCCGGCCTTATTTGCCTTTTTTAAGCATCAAATTTTACTTTTTTTGATCATATCTATATTTTTATTTTCTAGTTCATTATTTCTGCTTATAGTTTTATAAGTTCTTTTCTTCTACTTTAGGGGATTTATCTTATTCTGTTTCAAGTTTCTTGAGTTGAAACAGCATATTTCAAGTCAGCCTTTCTTGTTTTTTAGTAAAAGTGTTTATCTTCGAGACCAGCCTGACCAAAATGGTGAAGCCCCGTCTCTACTAAAAATATAAAAAATTAGTCAGGCGTGGTGGCGGGTGCCTGTAATTCCAGCTACTCGGGAGGCTGAGGCAGGAGAATCCCTTGAACTCAGAAGGTGGACATTGCAGTGAGACGAGGTCACGCCATTGCACTTCAGCCTGGGCAAAAAGAGCAAAACTCCATCTCAAAAATAAATAAATAAATAAAAATAAATAATAGAAGTGCTTATCTCTACTTACATTTTCTCCCGAGAACTACTTTGAGCATCCCACGGTTTCAGCAAATGCAGTACTCTTGTAGTGTATTTCTAAATCACTTGATTTTTTCATTTCGATTTTCTCTTAAACTCAGAATTACTTAGGCAGTAATACAAAAAAAGATGGTGAGAAAATTATATGTTGGTAGATCTCTTCTTGGCTGTACTTTCACGTTCATTTCTAACTTTATTTTACTGTGGTCAGAGCATTGCTCCTCTTAGGAATCACTTGAGGTCTTGTTTATGGGTGAATACTTTGGCAATTTTTGTTCACAGTTCCATGTCTGAATCGGTTTGTCCTAACTCCCATCCTTGGTTGTTGATTCTATCCGCTTTGTTGCTTCTGTTCCGCAGTACTGGTTTTCCTAGTATGTTTGGTGATTCTTGGTTGTGTGTTCGTTGTATCTGCTACCTGTCTATGAACACTGCTTCTGTTTGCTGTAATGAATGCAAAGGACACCAGTGAGTTTCATTCGAAGTTGTTGAAGCACTCAACAAATTCGGGTGGTTCTGCCGGGGGCAGTGGCTCACGCCTGTAATCCCAGCACTTTGGGAAGCCGAGGGGGGCAGATCACTTGAGGTCAGGAATTCGAGGCCAGCCTGGCCAACAATGGTGAAACCCGGTCTCTACTAAAAATACAAAAATTAGCCGGGCGTGATGGTGCACTCCTGTGATCTCAGGTACTCGGGAGGCTGAGGCAGGAGAATCACTTGAACCCGGGGGGCAGAGGTTGCAGTGAGCTGAGATCGTGCCATTGCATTCCAGCCTGGGCAACAGAGCAAGACTCCATCTTACAAAAAAAAAATTCGGGTAGTTCTCCTCCTGGGGGTATTGCTCCAAGTAGGATGGCCTCCAGTAAGATGGCTTGTTTACAGCTGGGACACAGAGAACAATAATTTGCCCAAACTCACGTATCTGTAAATAACAAAGTCTGGCCATTCTGGCCCAAAGCCCACACAGTTCTCATGATGCCACAGCACCCGCTAAGGCTTCGTAATGCCAACCAGCCCACTCCTGCTTCCGAATCCCCAATAACCAGACAACTAACAGAAGGTTTAGGTATATTTCTTTTTACTCTTAAAAAAAAAAAGTTCACAATGATAACCTGCAAACTGCAGAAAGCGCCACGGGTTTCAAGCTCCTCACCTTCGGAACATCACCCTATCCTTCCCCTTCCCTTAAAATCCTAGATGAAAATTCCCGAGAAAGCAGAAGAGGCCCCCAGATGGGCGGATTCCCAATCCCGGACCCCTGCGGCAGGTCGAGGCATTGAAGAAATAAATTAAAGGAGAGGTGGCTCCTGGCTGGCCTTGTCCAGCTCTGTCTCGCAGACCCAGCGGTAGGGCCTCTGGCAGACGTCGTCGTTCCAGCGGCCGTCGTCGGTGAAGTGGGCACAGTCCTCGCCTCCTCCGAGCCCGTGGCCGTACCAGTCGTCCGGCTGCTCCGGCCTCCAGTTCCTGGGGACAGAGCCAGCTGTGGGCCCCAGGAGGTCGGATCCGCAGGCGGGTCGCTCCAGACTCCTCAGCCCAGGGCCCCAGGGCGCGAAGGCGGCCGGACCCAGGCCGAGGGAGGGCGCGCACTCACTTGAAGCCCGTCTCGTAGTCCGTCCCGTCCACCCACTTCCAGGGCCCGTTTTGGTCGTGGAGGCCCATCCAGGTGTTCACAGGGCCTATGTGGTGCTGGACAAATTTCTGAGGAGAGAGAAGGCGGGTGGTGATCTCTCCGAGGCCAGCCAGCCTCCCAGACCCTCCGGGTCCTCACCTGCTCCTCCCAGGACGTGACCACCACCAGGTGCGCGTCCTCCAGCCGGCAGTAGTTGTCGGCGTCAGCCCAGGCCTTCCCGGAGCGAGAGAACCAGTAGCAGCTGCGCTCGTGCTCCACCCAGTTGACCGGGCAGCAGGTCCTTTCTGAGCCTGAGCGGGAGAAACGGGGCGCAGGGGCTAAGCGCTGCCCAGAGAAGGGGGGAGGCAGAGAGCGGGCCGGGCTGGCCTCCTTACCATTGCCCTGGAGCGCCGCCATCTGACAGCTCAGGCTCCGCAGGTCAGACACGAACTGCTTCACGTGGAGCAGCAGGCTGGAGTGATCTGGGGAGACCGGGCGGAGGGGAGCGGGAGGAGATGCGGAAACCACGGGGAGGGAAACGGGAAACGAGGTCAGCCCTACATCCTCCTGCTGGGACCCGAACACCCGTCGCATTGCCACAAACAGCAGCGGAGTTGGCCTGAGAGACCCCCATACACACACACACACACACTCCTACACACACAACACACCCTTACACACACACTCACACAGACACACAACACATCCTAACACACACACACAGACAATATACAACACACACACACACAACCTAACCCACATACACACACACGGACAACACACAAAACACAACACATACAACACACCCTAACCCACAGACACAAACGCAGACAACACACAGAGACACACAACACACCCTAACCCACATACATCCACAACACACACAACACACATAACCCACATACAGACAACACATAAAACACACAATACAGAACACACAACACACCCTAACCCACATACACAAAACACACCCACAGACACACAACACACCCTTACACACACATACATAGACACAACACACCCTAACTCACATACACACTCACACAACACACACAACACACCATACACAACACACCCTCACACGCACAACACACCGTAACCCACATACACAGACAACACACAAAACACACAAACACACAACACACCCTAACCCACATACACACAACACACACAAAACACACACACAATACACCCTCACGCATAACACACCTTAACCCACATACACACAACACACCCTTACACACCCACTCACACACAAAACACCCACAACATACACCCTCACACACACACACGGAACACACCCTAATCTACAGTCACTACACACACAACACACCTTCACCCACGACACACACAACACACCTTCACCCACACACACACACAACACACCCTCACCCAAACACACACAAAAACCACAACACACCCTCACACAGGCACACACACCCTCACCCACATACACACATTCACACAACGCACACCCACACATACAACACACCCTCACCCACTACACACACCACACACACTCACCCACAACACACATATACTCTTTCACACATGCACACACAATGCACATTCACACAACACGCACATACACACACTCACATGCACTTACACATATACTTACATTCTCACACACGCAACACACTAACACACACGTTCTCACATACACTGACACATTCTCACACACATAAACACAGACTCACATTCGCACACACACCCACACTCCCTCATTCTCACACACATAAACACACAGACTCTCCCACTCACAAACACCCATCCACACTCCTTCTCATTTTCACACAGGCTCTCACACACACACACACTCCCTCTCATTCTCACAGACACACACTCAGACACACACACCCATCTCATTCTCACACACACTCCCACTCCTCACACACAGTCTCACAGACACTCCATCTCATTCTCACACTCACAGACACAATCCCTCTCATTCCCCCACACACGCAACACACACTAACACACATACACACGTTCTCACACACATACACTGACACATTCTCACACATAAACACAGACTCACACTCGTACACACACCCACTCCCTCATTCACACAGACTCACACACCCATCCACTCCTTCTCATTCTCACACTCACACACACTCCCTCTCATTCTCACACTCAGACTCTGTCACACACACACCCATCTCATTCTCACACACAGACACACACCCCATCTCATTCTCACACTCACACACACCCCATCTCATTCTCACACTCACAAACACACACACACTCACAGACACACACACCCCATCTCATTCTCACACTCACTCACACACCCCATCTCATTCTCACACTCACAGACTCACACTCAGACACAAACACCCCTCATTCTCACACTCTCACACTCACAGACACACACACCCCATCTCATTCTTACACTCAGACTCACACACACCTCATTATCACACTCACAGACACACTCCGTCATTCTCACACTCTCACACACACTCCCTCTCATTCCCACAGACTGTCTCACACACACTCTATCTCATTCTCACACTCAGACACACACCCCCTCTCATTCCCACACACACACCATCTCATTCTCACACACACACACCTCATTCTCACACACAGACTCACACACACTCCATCTCATTCTCACACTCACAGACATACACACTCCCTCTCATTCTCACATCCACACAAGGCTCTCATACACACACCCAAAACACACTCCCCCTCATTCTCACACACAGACTCACACACACACACACTCCCTCTCATTCTCACACACATCCACACACACTCACACTTTCTCACACACATCCACACATTCTCACTCTCTTTCACACACACACACACACACACACACTCCCTCTCTGACCTTCACTCAGGTCCTTCTGCTGTTTCTCCAGCTGGGACTCTAGCGACTTCATCTTTCTTCCCACATTGCCTCCTGCGGGAGAGGCTCGCTCAGCGTTCCCGACAGCCCCCCAGCCCCAGCCCCAGCCCCAGCCCCGCCCCAGCGCCCTCACCCTGGGTGCTCAAGCCCTTGACCTGGGCCTCCGTGCTCGCTGTGAAGTTGCTGAACGTCTCTCTCAGGCCCCGCAGCTCCTCCTGCAGCTGGGAGTCTGGCCAGGACAGCGTGCAGAGAGAAGAAAACGGGATCGCTGTGTCCGCCACCACTGCACCCACCACTCCCTTGCCACGGTCCCCCGTCAACACCCCCCAATGTTGCCCCCTTCCCACCCCTGGGGCACCCACTTTGGGATCCGATCACACAGACAACCACAAGCAGCAGGAGGCTGAGGCCCAGGGAGAGCAGGAGGAGGCGAGGTCCGGAGCAGAGACGCTGCAGGAGGGGCTGGGGAGGAGGTGGCCCTGCAAGAGGAGGGGGTGTCAGGAGCGCGGGGACAGAGGGGACCCTGGCACAGCTCCAGGGTCCTAAAAGGGTAGCAAGCTAAGGCGGCCCTAGTAGTCTAGGAGGAACCATGTACATGAAGAAATGCGGGCGGTGGGCGACCCTGCAGGGCCAGAGGCAACTGGAAATCGGGGAGAAAAGAGGGCTGGGGAAGGGGGCTAAGCGCTGAGCCGCCCCATCCCACCGAGGCCCTGAGCTTTTGCTGACACCTAATGGCATGACTGCGTCACTGCAGCCAATCCAGGAACCTCAGTCCACCCCCTCCTCCCGCGCCTTGAAACGCAATTGAGTGGCCCGCGCCTCGGAGTCGCTGCTTCCCCTGAAAGTGGGGAAAGAAGGAAGGTTTCTTTCTCTGTCCATGAATTCCACTTGTCTTTGGCTGCGTGCAGGGAGAGAAGGTGCAATAGCTACCATTCAGGCCCTCAAGTCTTCCACCCAGCAGGGGGAAGAGACACGTTAGCCCTGTGCCCTGAGAGCTGGAGGGTTGGGGGGGCCTCCCTGCCGGGTCTCCTCCGCTGCGGACCCTCCTTCCGTCAAAGCGCGCTGCACCCCATCCCCCACGAACTTCATCCTTGCTCAGCCTAAACAATTCCCTGCTCGGAGGACAAAGAAATGGGTCAAGGGGAATTTGTTTTTGAAGCAAAAGAGTCTCGTTCTCCCTCAGGTCAGAGACCCCTCATCGCCCCCCTCACAGAATCCTCAGACCCTTCACAGAAACCTTTTCCCCCTTCACCAAACTGATCACTGACACACACACGCACACGCTCGCACGACCGGGGTCCCTGGGTGGTGTTGGAAGGGGAAAGGAAGAGGGGGCGTGACTTCGTCATAGGAAGCCGACAGTGACCTCATCTCTCCAGCTTCCAGCTGTTCCCACACCCCCGGGTCCACCTCCGAGGGCCAGGAGGCACAGGAAAGCTTTGGGCACCTGTCACCAATAAAGGGACTCCAACCCCACACTCCGCCCCTCTCCTGAGAGAGGCAGTTCCGACACCTTTCCCAGTGTTGGGGGAGGGAGACAGACCCAGAGAGAGAGCCAGGCTCACGGGCAAGAGTAGGAGCTGTGGCTGGGGGGTGGAGAACCGCCAAATTCTCGCCTTGCAGAGGCAGGGCAAGGTGGCCCTCACCTTTTCTGAGCTGATGGTGGTCACTCTCCTCATTGTCCAGATGCTGAAGGTCTTGATACTCCTTGGTCATGATAGGGCTGGCGCTGGACCTGGGACTGAGTCAAGACTGAGGCTGGGGCTGAGGTGGGGGCTCACCAGGACTAGAGTGGGAATGAGGGGCCCATCTCTTTACTCCCATCTGATTGACGGCTCCATCATGGAGACCTTTCTTCTTTCTTTCTTTTCTTTTTCTTTTTTTTCTTTTCTTTTTTTTTTTTTTTTTGAGAGGGAGTCTTGCTCTGTCCCCAGGCCGGAGTGCAGTGGCATGATCTCAGCTTACTGCAACCTCTGCCTCCCGGGTTCAAGCGGTTCTCCTGCCTCAGCCTCTGGAGTAGCTGGGACAACAGGTGCACGCCACCACGCCTGGCTACTTTTTTGTATTTTAGTAGAGACGGGGTTTCACCGTGTTGCCCAGGCTTGTCTCAAACTCCTGAGCTCAGGCAATCCACCCACCCCAGCCTCCCAACGTGCTGGGATTACAGGCGTGGACCACCGCGCCCCACCGGGAGCTTTCTTCTTTCCTCCATCCCCTCCCAGGCCTGACATCCAGAATCCATCCTCTGATGTTTCCCACCCAGCACCCCCCAACACACCCTGGGTTCCCTCCGCACCCCTGCACCCCCAGCCAGCCTCCCGCCACCTCTCTTCCCATTTTACTTGCTCAGGGTCTCAGGGTCTGATTCCCAGGTTCTTCAGTGCTGTGCAGATGCCGAACTAAGGAGGGGGCTGAAGCTTGGAGAATGGGGGTGGGCGGACAGCCGTGGACAATGGGAGGGGAGCGGGCAGGGTCCATAGGAGGGCCCTGGGCCCCGGTGTCTCTGTGTCTGCGTGTCTGTGTGTCCAAGCACGCCAAACGTGGCATCTCCAGTGCCCGGGACTTTGGACAGTAAACAGAGGTGGAAATGGATTGGAACTTAGGGGAGTGTGGGGGTGGGAGTGGGGGATGGGTTGCCTCTGCTCTGCTCCCCAGGGAGGAGAATCGTGTTGCCCCCACACATGCCAGTCACCTCACTCTTCCGTGCACCGTTTGGGAGGGGTGCCAGGCCAGGAGGGGCTGGGGTGGGATTTGCCATATCCCTCCTCCCTCCCCGTTTCGCTTCCTGCCTCTAAATTCCCCAGAACTATTGGTGTCTCCAAATATCCCTGAACAGGATCAGAGGGACCGGTTCTCTGCTCTTGCCCAATCCAGACCTGTGACCCTGGCACCGGAGCCGCAGGCCCCAGTTTCCTGTGGGGCTGAGCCCCAGGCTTCCCAGCTCTGGCCTGACTTGCTTCCCTCTCCTGGGGAGTAAAGTCCTCCAAGCAGCATGAGGGCCAGCTTGGTTCCAGGAAAGGCAGGAGAGCCTCCGCTGGGACTGGTGCCAGCAAACCTCCACTCACTACTACTGTGTGCCTCAGGTCACTGCGTTCATGAACTTCTCTCATTATCCCCAGAGCACATCCCATTTCACAGATGAGAAAGCTAAGGCCCTACAAGGTAAGAGCTTGCCCAGGGTCATGCTGCAAGGAAGCAGCAAAGGGTAGACTAGAACCTGGGCAGCCTGACTCCAGGCACTGCGTTCGGGCCCCAGAACCACACCCATCACACAGAGCCAGGATCCCATCCCGTTGACACAGCTGGGCTCCAGTGTCCCAGAGATGCTAAACGATGGTCCCTCACAGCCCCACGGGGCTTCAGAGAGAGCCATGTGAATTTGAATTATGCTCACTTGGAAATCAGGCAATATTAAAGATAAGTCTCGGCTGGGCGCAGTGGCTTACGCCTGTAATCCCAGCACTGTGGGAGGCCGAGGCAGGCGGATCACCTGAGGTCAGGAGTTCAAGACCAGCCTGACCAACATGATGAAGCCCCGTCTCTACTAAAAATAAAAAAATTAGCAGGGCATGGTGGTGCATGCCTGTAATCCCAGCTACTCAGGAGGCTGAGACAGGAGAATCGCTTAAACCCGGGAGGTGGAGGTTGCAATGAGCCGAGATTATGCCACTGCACTCCAGCCTGGTGACAGAGCAAGACTCCATCTCAAAAAAAAAAAAAAAAATAATAATAATAATAATAATAATAAGTATCAGCTGGGTACAGTGGCTCATGCCTGTAATCTCAGCACTGTGGGAGGCCGAGGTGGGCGGATCATCTGAGGTCAGGAGTTCGAGACCAGCCTGACCAACATGGTGAAACCTTGTCTCTACTAAAAATATAAAAATTAGCCAGGCATGGTGGCAGGCGCTTGTAATCCCAACTACTCGGGAGGCTGAGGCAGGAGAATCGCTTGAACCCGGGAGGCGGAGGTTGCAGTGAGCTGAGATCGCGCCATTGCACTCCAGCCTGGGGGACAAGAGCAAGACTTCATCTCAAAAAAAAAAAAAAAAAAGATAATAAGTCTCACTTTAGGCCCAAATGTGAAGTCATCCAAATCCTATTTTACAGTTATTTCAGTGAGAAAACAAGGCTTGAATTTTGAGAGTTTTCAATGATGTGAGATATTCAGGAACACATCTCTTGCATAAAATGTGACAGGTCTGTGTGTGCCCTCCTTTGTCTGTGTCCTGACAACCACCATGTCATTTATATGTGCTGGGACAATGGCCAGTGATTTTGTTGACTGTTGGGCTGTTAATTAAACATCCTCTAATATAATCACTTACAATCGGGCTTATTCAGGCAAATGAACCTACATTATTTCGGTCGGAATAGTGGTCACCCGGCTGGGCGCGGCGGCTCATGCCTGTAATCCCAGCACTTTGGGAGACCGAGCCGGGCGGATTACCTGAGGTCAGGAGTTCGAGATTAGCCTGGCCAACATAGCGAAATCCCGTCTCTACTAAAAATACAAAAATTAGCCAGGCGTGGTGGCAGGCACCTGTGGTCCCAGCTACACGGGAGGCTGAGGCGGGAGAAATGCTTGAACCCGGGAGACAGAGGTTGCAGTGAGCCGAGATCGTGCCACTGCACTCCAGCCCGGGCAACAGAGGGACACTCCATCTCAAAAAAAAAAAAGAATAGTGGTCACCCTCACAGAAATAGTGACTAGCCAAGAGCACAAGAGGCACGTCGGGGATGACGGAAAACTTCAGCTCTTGGGTGTGGATGCTGGTTACACCGTGGTGGTGTTCAGCTTGCAAAGCTGCAGAAAGGTATGCAGTTATGATATGTGCATTTTTCCGTTTGCACATTATATTGGAGTAAGAGGCTTTCAAATCTGATTTCTACTCTATAACCACATTCCCCAAACTCATTGATTAGGGAGCAGTGCTTGGATCAGTGCTGAAAAACACCCTCTAAAGGCAATAACATTTATTATTATTATTATTATTATTATTATTTTTAGAGATGGGGGTCTCACCGTGTTGCCCAGACTGGTCTCAAATTCCTGGCCTCAAGTAATCCTCCCTCCCCAGCCTCCTGAGTAGCTAGGATTACAGGTTTGTGCCACCACCCTTGGCAAAGCAAGTAACTTTAGAATGGAAGTCAGAGATGGAAGGCAAACAAATAATACCATGTACCAGGCCACTAACTTCCAAGCCCTCTGCAAAATACCAGAGATAATACTGAAAACCAAAAAGTAGCTAAAAACAAAACTATGCCACAATGGTGGTAGATTGATGCCCTCTGAGAATTCATTCACCCTTTACATTTATTTCTTTAAGAACATGTTAGGCCGGATCTGGTGGCTCACATCTGTCATCCCAACACTTTGGGAGGTCAAGGCAGGAGGACTGCTTGAGGCCAGGAGTTTGAGACACATGTCCTGGGCAACATAGCAAGACCCCATCATGCCTGTAGTCTCAGCTACTTGGGAGGCTGAAGTGGGAGGATCACTTGAGCCCAGGAGTTGAGGCCACAGTGAGCTATGATGGTGCCACTGCACTCCAGCCTGGGTGATAGAGTGAGAACCTGTCTCAAAATAAGTAAATAAATTAATTAAATGAAATTAAATTAAAGGTTATAGGCCAGGCGTGGTGGCTCATGCCTGTAATCCCAGCACTTTGGGAGGCCGAGGCAGGTGGATCACGAGGTCAGGAGTTTGAGACCAGCCTGGCCAAGATAGTGAAACCCTGTCTCTACTAAAAATACAAAACAAAATTAGCCAGGCATGGTGGCGGGCGCCTGTAATCTCAGCTACTCGGGAGGCTGAGGCAGAGAATTGCTTGAGCCCAGGAGGCAGAGGCTGCAGTGAGCCGAGATCGAGCCACTGCACTCCAGCCTGGGTGACAGGGCAATACTCTGTCTAGGAAGAAAAAAAAAAAAGATTATATACCTTGGTTAGGGTAATCACTCTGTGGTTTATCCCTGTGTATGCTAATAAATTTGAATGCCTTTCTTGAAAATATATTTTTTGGCTGGGCGCGGTGGCTCACGCCTGTTATCCCAGCACTTTGGGAGGCCAAGGCAGGTGGATCACGAGGTCAGGATATCCAGACCATCCTGGCTAACGCGGTGAAACCCCATGTCTACTAAAAATACAAAAAAAAAAAATTAGCTGGGCATGGTGGCGGGCACCTGTAGTCCCAGCTACTCGGGAGGCTGAGGCAGGAGAATGGCGTGGCGTGAACCCTGGAGGCAGAGCTTGCAGTGAGCCGAGATCGCGCCACTGCACTCCAGCCCGGGCAACAGAGCGAGACTCCGTCTCAAAAAAAAAAAGAAAAAAAAAGAAAATAAATTTTTTGGCCAGGCATGGTGGCTCATGCCTCTAATCCCAGCACTTTGTGAGGCCAAGGCAGGCAGATGGCTTGAGCTCAAGAGTTCGAGACAAGCCTGGATAACATGGAAAAACCCTGTCTCTACCAAAAATACAAAAAATTAACCAGGTGTGGTGGTGCATGCCTGTGGTCCCAGCTACTCACGCGGCTGAGGTGAGAGGATCGCTTGAACCTGGGAGGCGGAGGTTGCAGTGAGCCAAGATCATGCCACTGCACTCCAGCCTGGGTGACAGACCAAGACCCTTTCTCTATGCGCCTGTAGTCCCAGCTACACAGGAGGCTGAGGCAGGAGAATGGCTTGAACCCAGGAGGCGGAGGTTGCAGTGAGCCAAGATCCCGCCACTGCACTCCAGCCTGGCGACAGAGCGAGACTCCATCTCAAAATAAATAAATAAATAAATAAATAAATAAATAAATAAATAAATATTTTCTTTAATACAAATTAATAACGTTTTCAAATATTGAAGAATTTTAGAGGATATGGACCTTGGATTTTCCTTGTGGAGAAAGTCTCCTGTATTAATTTTGTATTGCTGATAACAAAGGAAGACCCATAAAGAGTTGCAGTCAGGGCAGTGGTGAGGTCAGATCTGTGAGTTTAACAACAGCCTGGCCTTGGAGTGGGTGATGGCTCAGAGATGGTTTGCCCAGAGGCAGGGAGATGAGATCAGGAGGCTGCTGCGTTGGTCTCAGTGAGAAACTGTGAGGCTGGAGGCCAGACAGGGAAGGCCAGATGAGCAGAACTTTAGCAGGGGAATGAAGTGGACCTGTAGCTACTGAATGTGCAGTCAGGAGGGGACCAGGGAGGTGGGGGACAGTGGCACACCTGCCCAGGGTCCAGAGGCTACTGTAGATGGGTCTGGAGTCTGAAGAGACTTATGAGCAGGAGCCTCTGAAAGCAGAGTTGTGGGCGAGGTCCAGGTGTGGCAAAGTGCCCTGTGGCGACCCTGCTCCGTGAGAGGGCATGGTGGAAAGAAAGCAGCCCAGGACAGTCCCTGCCAGTGGGAGAAGCAGAAGGAAGTACCCAGGCCTGGCAGTCATCCAAGCTTCAGGGCCAGCTCTGGGGACCATAAGCACCAAGTTAAATATTGCTAGGGAGGCCACGCGCGGTGGCTCATGCCTGTAATCCTAGCACTTTAGGAGGCCGAGGCGGGCAGATTTCGTGAGCTCAGGAGTTGGAGACCAGCCTGGGCAACACGGTGAAACCACGTCTCTACTAAAATACAAAACAATTAGCCGGGCATGGCAGCGTGCGCCTGTAGTCCCAGGTAGTCTGGAGGTTGAGGCAGGAGAATTGCTTGAACCCAGGAGGCGGAGCTTGCAGTGAGCCGAGATTGCACCACTGCACTCCAGCCTGGGTGGCAGAGCGAGCCTCCATCTCAAAAAAAAAAAAAAAGTGTACATATATATATATATTTTGCTGAGGAGAGATAATGGAATGAACTTCCCATAAGGGTAAGTCAGGAAGACTGGAGTATTTTCAGATTGGGGGAGGCCTGAGCCGCTGGTGAACAGAGGAGAAGGGGCTGGAAGCAAGAGGGCTTGTGGCTGCTGAGCAAGAAGCTTGCCGAAGGCCGGAGGCTCCAGGAAGATGCTCATGCTGCAAAACCAGCCTGAGGCCCTCCATCAGCCAGACCTGCTCCACCTTGCCCTCATCTGGAAAATGGGTTCATGCCCCGCTCAGAGTGCTCATCAAGGTTAAATGGGATAATGAGTGAAAAGCACTTAGCGCAGTGCTGGCACACACCAGGTGCTCAGCACGTGCTAGCTGATTTTATTTTTATTATTCTCACTAGCAACACAGCCATGAGTTGCATTAGACCTCCAAGGCCTCTTCCAGTTTGGGAGGAGGAGAAAAGGGAGAAGATTGGGATCAGGATGGCAGAGGATGTCTGTCCCCACACCCCAGAGGGTGGTTATAGCAACTTCGCTGGGACAGAGCTGGAGGCCCGGGGGTTATCTGAGTTGAGACAGTCCCTTCCCCTGCTATGGAGAAGGATTCTGAGCTCCCTCAGTCCTTGCCAACCCTCTCAGAGCACTTTCCAGCCTCATGTTTGGGATGGGCCTGTGCACCCAAGGGCTGGAGCTAGACCTCCTCCCAGGCCTGCAGGGAGTCTAATACCCGCAGATCTGAAAAGAGGCACCTGAACAAACAGGCAGGAGGGGCAAAGCAGAGGCTCTTCACGAACTTCCCAAAGAGGGCGGCCTATGGTCCCATATCTAGAAGAGGCTGAGCAGGAATTGGGTTGAGATGAAGCAGGGGAGGTTGAGGAAAAGGAAGGCTATCCTCCAACCTTTCGGGCTGGAGGGCTGTGCGCCAGGGCAAGGGAAGAGGGGGACCACCAGTGCTGAAAGGAGCAGACGGGCCTCTGCACACAAGTTTAAATCTGAGCTGACACAACCCACCCCAAGGGCTTCAATATCCCATCTCTGCAGTTGACAAGAAGCCGGCCTGCAGGAATGGGGGCCCAAGCTCCCTGTCTCCAGTAGGGTCTCTCTCCCCCCAGCTCTCTCCTCCTCAATGCCACTCTGTCCACCCCAGGCACACCTTTTCAACCTTGGGACAGCCAGGATTCTCTGACCCAGGACCCTCTCTATACCTCTTTCCTACTTTTTTTTTGAGACAGAGTCTTGCCCTGTCGCCCAAGCTGGAGTGCAGTGGCGCAATCTCAGCTGACTGTAAACTCCGCCTCCCGGGTTCAAGGGATTCTCCTGCCTCAGCCTCCCCAGTAGCTGGGATTACAGGCGCCCGCCACCACCCCCAGCTTTTTTTGTTTGTTTGTTTTTTTAGTAGAGACAGGGTTTCACCATGTTGGCCAGGCTGGTCTTGAACTCCTGACCTCGTGATCTGCCCACCTCAGCCTCCCAAAGTGCTGGGATTACAGGCGTGAGCCACCATGCCAGGCCTGCCTCTTTCCTACTTTTTGAGGGTAAAACTTGTTAAAACTCCAAATGATTCCAGGCTTTAACTTTTGGGCTTATGCATATCTGAAAATAGACCAAGAGGCCAATGACAATAATTGCTACCATTTTCTACCATGCGTCAGGCACTGTGCTGAGGGCTTTACGTGTACTTTCCAGTTTATTCCTCCCAAGTATCCACCAAGGTAGGTAGTTATTTCCATTTTACAGCTAGGTATACTGAGGCTTAGAGAGGTTAAGCTCTCCCCAGAGTGACAGTGACTCCACCATCGTCCCTCATCCTAACGCCAGCAACAGCCTAGCTGGCTCTCCATTGCCCCCTGCTGTGTATTCCCCTTCACACCCAGAGTAACTGGCTCACGGTTCCCTCCACAGCCCTCCAGCAGCTTCTACACCACTCTGAAAAATCCACGGGAAGTCCTGTGTGCCACGCCTCTCTGACTTCTCTGACACACCTATTTCTCTCTGTCCCCCACCCTACTCCACTCCAGTGGCCTCCTTCTGTCCTCCAACCTTTCAAATTTATTCCTTCCAGACTGTTCGTCTCCCTACTTGGCACACTCTCACCACCCCAGTCTTTGTTGTCCTTCAGGCCTCCACCCAAATGATGCTGCAAGGGGCCTCCCTGACCGCCCGGTCTAAACCAGCAAGGGCCATCACTCTCTTTCATAGTAGCACCCATCATTGTCTAAACACTCTGTGTTCACTTACTCCCTATAGTCTGTCATCTCCACTGGATGCACCCAAAGTTCCCTAAGGACAGGGATGTTGCCTTCCCAGCATCTAGAACACTGCCTGGTTCCAAGGAACATCCAAGGAAGTATTTACTGAAAGAAGTAAAAAGTGTGGGGAGAAGAGGAACCAGGATTTGAACCTATGTTGTTTGGGAGCCCAGGGCTCCAATGCATTAATTACATTGCCTTCTCAAGCGGCCAGGCCATGGCCTTGGAAGAATACAGCCCCAGCGGCAACCGTGCTTCCCCTGAGGAATAATGCCTGGAGGGAAACAGGAAGGAAACTTTTTAAAAACAGTATGTATTTCTATATTTATTTGAATTGTTGTCAGGTACGTGTACTGATTATAATTTACAAAATAATGCATGCAGGCCAGGCGCGGTGGCTCATGCCTGTAATCCTAGCACTTTGGGAGGCCGAGGGGGGGGGGGGTGGATCACCCGAGGTCAGGAGTTCGAGACCAGCCTGATCAATATGGTGAAATCCCCATCTCTACTAAATACAAAAAATTAGCTGGGCGTGGTGGCATGCACCTGTAATCCCAGCTACTCGGGAGGCTGAGGCAGGAGAATAGCTTGAATCCGGAAGGCAGAGGTTGCAGTGAGCAGAGATCGCACCACTGCACTCCAGCCTGGGCAACAAGAGCGAAACTCTGTCTCCAATAATAATAATAATAATAATAATAATAATACATGCAAAATTATGTGATTCTACCCCATCCAGGTCAAATATGTGATTCTGCCCCTTCTAGTTTAACACGCAGACGCATTACCTGCACACACCTTCCTCAGCTCCTAGATTTCTCCCTTCAGCTCACGATAGAGAACGTTATCACAGCCTCAAGCCATCTGCTATTACACAGAACCAAGCTAAGAGAAGGATTATTTGAAAAACATCAGGGCCAGGTGCAGTGGCTCACGCCTGTAATCCCAGCACTTTGGGAGGCCAAGGCGGGCAGATCACCTGAGGTCAAGAGTTTGAGACCAGCTTGGCTAACATGGTGAAACCCCGTTTCTACTAAAAATATTAAAAAATAGCTGTGTGTTATGGCACGCATCTGTAATCCCAGCTACTTGGGAAGCTGAGGCAGGAGAATCACTTGAACCCTGGAGTTGGAGGTTGCAGTGAGCCGAGATCGCGCCATTGCACTCCAGCTTGGGCAACAAAAGTGAAACTCGACCTCAAAAAAAAAAAAAAAAAAATCCTCTGAAGCAGTGCTTCTCCACCCAGTGAGACATCAAAATCACCCGGGAGCTTTCCAGAAATGCAGACCCCTGGTCCCTATCCCCAGGATCCTGATGGACTCGGTCCTGCATAGAAAATCCTGCAGGGCAATACGTGGCTACTGGTTGAAGTGACACCCCTTCAGCAATCTCTGCCTCTATTCTTGGACTACTTTAGGCTTGGACGGCCATGCCATCCACAGAATCACTACCCCTGGGTTGGTCTTTTGCATGAAACTCTCAACTTTAGTCAGGAGTGGCTACAAAAAATGCCCTTTTGCACTGTTTGGGATTTAACCACCATAACTCTTAGGGCCCTCTGCCTCAGCCTTACCCACTGGAGCACCTGAGAATCAGAGAAAGGAATAGTACCCCAGCAGGTGCCCCCAAAGGTTCATCTGTGCCAAACACATGAAGAAGGCAGAAGGCTGAGAGTCACCATTCTACATAGCAGGATCTCAGGAGCTTCAGTTAGGACTTAGGGCCAGGAAAATATGACTCCCTAAAAGAACTAAAATTATTTCTCCCTTATAATAAAGAAGTAGGTAATTGACAATTTCCTTTTTTGCCATGGCTATCAGGAAGCTCAGAGATCACATTTACCCTCACAGTTCATATACATTTCTCCAGTTTTCATCTTTGGCATTTAGATTCTTATTTTCCTACCCTCATTATTTACAAAGCTGCCTCAGATCTTTCCCATAGAGATAGGACATAAAGGCTGGGCGTAGTGGCTCATGCCTGTAATCTTAACACTGTGGGAGGCCAAGCTGGGCGGATCACCTGAGGTCAGGAGTTCGAGACCAGCCTGGCCAACAAAGCAAAACCCCATCTCTACTAAAAATACAAAAATTAGCCAGGAGTGGTGGCAGGCGCCTGTAATCCCAGCTATTCGAGAGGCTGAGGCAGGAGAACCGTGTGAACCCAGCAGGCAGAGGTTGCAGTGAGCCAAGATCGCACCACAGCACTCCAGCCTGAGCGAAAGAGCGAAACTCTGTCTCAAAAAAAAAAAAAAAAGGGTGGGGGGGGCGCATAAAGAAACCTAGCGTATATTCACACAGCAGTTCTTATCAGCAGAACTCTGTAAAGATCATTTCCAGGCCAGGCGCGGTGGCTCACGCCTGTAATCCCAGCACTTTGGGAGGCTGAGGCGGGTGGATAACAAGGTCAGGAGTTCAAGACCAGCCTGACCAACATGGTGAAACCCCATCTCTACTAAAAATACAAAATTAGCCAGGCATGGTGGCAGTAATCTGTAATCCCAGCTACTCAGGGGGCTGAGGCAGGAGAATCACTTGAACCAGGGTGGCAGAGATCACAGTGAGCCGAGATCGAGCCACTGCACTCCAGCCTGTGCGACAGAGCAAGACTCTGTCTCAAAAAAAAAAACAAAAAAACAAAAAAAATCATTTCCAGATCCTAGCTCTGTCCACAACTCCATGAACATGAATGAACGAAGTTTCCTCTCTATTTTCCTTTAAGGACTGTTGTGCTTCCCAACAGGACTGAGACAGCCCGGCAGGGATCAGAGCTGGACTAAGTCTGCAGGGCCCCAGACAAGTTCCAGCCTCCCCTTTCTGGCCTGTCATGACTTTGGACAGAGCTCCAGACCTTCCCAGGCTCAGTCTTCACCAACTCGGGTTCCTTGATTTGCCAGTTACCTCCCTGGCCCATTTTCCAGGCCACTAACCTCTCTGGCTTGGAGTGAAGAAGGATCTGACTCTGCTGCGCCCATCTCCCTCCACACCCAGGTCCCAAATAACCAGGCCACACACCAAGTTTCAAGTATCTGTCTCTTCCTTTCACTCTCTCAAAAGAAAAAAATAAATAAATTGCAGAAGGCGGCAGCATTTCCAGTCTTCCCTGGCTCCCGGACACCCGACCCCCGACCCCTGCCCCCCACCCTCCCTCCCGCATTTCCCACTCCCTAGACCCATCCCTCCCTTTTCCCCAAAAAAATTCCCAGGAAAAAAAAAAAAAAAAGCCACATTTAGACCTTCCACTCATGCAAACCGGCAAAGAAAAATGGTGGGGGCATGTGGAAGGCAGGGGCCCGCTGCGGAGTCCCCTGCTTCTCCCCCCAAAAAACCACCTTTGAGAAGAAAAAAAGTGGAAAAAATAAATGAGAAATCAAGGAACATGGGGAATTACGATGAGGGCAGGGGTGACCCCAGACCCTGCCTTAGGAGAGAGCGGAGGCCTGTGGCCCTGCATCCCTGCAGCGGGTGCTCCTCGAGGGGGCCCTGACTTCTGGAATGTGTGTGGGAGAGGATGGGGGAGGGCAGGTGGCCCCCGGTGGGTCTGTGTGTGCATTGGGGGCAGGTGGGGGCGGGGATCCTAAGGAGCAAGGGCTCGGAACAAGGAGCCCAGCTCCCCCCCAGACCCCAGGTTCCTGGCGTTCAGGAGCCCAGTTCTGGGGTGCGGGGATACATGCAGAGGAGTGTCCCCCCTCCAACAGGCTGGATCCAGTTAGAAAGGAAATAAATAAGAAGGGGTGGGAGGGAGGCCGGGGGGAGCCAAGGGCTTGGGCAATTCAGTCCAGACCAAGGGCCCAGGTGATGGAGGCAGGGCGAGTCCAGGCCAAGCCAGGGCAGGAATCAGAGTCTCTCTCGGGCTGGAACCCAGATGTAGGGGCCTGAGAGGTCCTCGATGACACGCTTCACCTTGTGGTAGATCTCCTCAAAGCTGTCACCCTCCACGATGGCTGGGAGTGGGGTGGAGCAGGGAGTGAGGCCAAGGAAGGGCCAGAGGACACCTGGCCAAGGGGGTTGCACCAGCCCAGAGGAAGGGGCACCTCTTTCCAACTCTCCAAGCCATAAGTCCTGGGGCTGCACCCGCCCACAGGGGCACCTCTTTTTTTTTTTTTTTTTTTTTTTTGAGATTGAGTTTTGCTCTTAGCGCCAGGCTGGAGTGCAGTGGTGCGATCTCGGCTCACTGCAACCTCTGCCTCCCAGGTTCAAGCGATTCTCCTGCCTCGGCCTACCGAGTAGCTGGGATTACAGGTGCCCGCCAGTGCTGGGATTACAGGCGTGAGCCACCATGCCGCGCCCACAGGGGCACCTCTTTCTAAGCCATCCACTGGGGGTGGCGGGGGAGCTCTTTCTAATCCGAGCAAGGGCACCCTACATGCTGGCAACAGCCTTGCTGTGGCCTCACCTGAGAAGCACTCTGTGAACTCCTGCTCCAGCTTGGTGGCTCTGTCGAAGGCTTTGCGGGCTTGCTCCTCTGTGATCCGCTTGTTAATCTCTCTGTGAAGAGGGAGGGAGAGCAGGCCTGAGACTGGACCCACCTGACCCTGCCTTTTATCTCCTCTATCCAGGAATGTTAAGTATTCTTCTATTTGGAGCACATAGCAAAAAAAAAAATACAATTCCCAATATCCTCTGGGGCCACAGATGAGAACCACCCCCCACCCCCCTGCCACCCGCAACCGCCCCAGCCAGGTGTGGCTACTCCAGGGACATCTACGGAGCTTCATCCTTCCAGCCTTCAGCCCCAGAGATGGGATTCGGACTCCAATTCCCAACAGCCCTAGAGGCCCTGACTCGCCCCAGCTGGTATGCCCCAGGGGCTGCTGGGAAATGTAGTCCTGTCTAGCCAAGGCAGGAGAGGAGGGGAAAGACCCGATTCCCCCACATCCTCTGGGTTCCAGGGATCCCCCTCAGGGGCTGCTGAAACCGCTGTCCAGGGTTCTGAAGGGAGAGTTGAACGCAGACGCCTTGTGAGGCCCAGGGCCACAGGTGTTGGGGGAGCAAAGGGGAGGCCCCCAGGACCATACTCACAGCACATTCTCCAGGGAGCGGGGGCGGATGAAGATGGCGATGGGGTGCAGGTGGGCCGCCTGCAGCCGCCGCACGGCATTGGCCGAGACATCGAGGATGCAGTGCTTCCCCTGGGGGCAGGCAGGGTGGGCGGAGGGGGGCCAGCGGGTGGCGAGAAAGGACAGAGAGCAGTGCCGGAGGGACACGGACGGGGAGAGGTGGGGAATGGGAAGTTGGCCGAAGGGGAGTGACATGGATGTCAAGAAACACGGGGGCAGAGAGTCAGGCAGGAAGCGGGTATGGACAGAGTAAAAGACAGAGGGAAAGGAAAGGGAAGATGGAGAGCACGGGAGAGGGCAGGGACAGGACAGAATGGAGGAAGGGAGGAGCACCAGGCAGGCAGGGACCCAAGAGATGGTGGCAGAGCCGGGGCAGCAGCGAGTGGGGCGGGGTGTGCAAGGCAGAGGTGACACAGGCGGGAAGGAAAGCCAAGAAAAAGGAGAAAGGAAGTAGGATAGAGGGAGGAGGGAGGGGAGGACGGACAGAGGACAGACAGATGGAAGGAACAAGGAGACAGATGGGAGGGAGTGAGGCAGATGGAGAAAGGAACCGTGGAGGGAGGGAGGGAGGGCAGGGTGAGGAGCAGCGGGGAAAGGAAAGGAGTTAGCAGAGGAGTGGGAGAGGGGAGCCGGGCCCCAGAAAAGGGTGAGGCAGGGGAGAGGGCCAGCGGGGAGTCAGGAAAAAGGGAGGGACCCAGTGGGGAAGGCCAAGCCACCAAAGACAAGGCCATGGGAAGAGAGGAGAAATGGGGCAAGGAGAAGGGAGTGGGGAGAGAAAGAGGCCAGATGGTGGTGGGGAATTTGGGGTCAGGAAGTGAGGGAGGTGGGAGAGAGAGCAGGGGCAGAGAGCAGGCAGTCAGACAGAGTTGCCCAAGAGGAGAAGGAGGTGGAGGAGCGGAGTGGAGACCCAGCAGGGAAAGAGACAGAGAGAGAGAGAGTTAGAGAAAGCTGGAGGGAGGCAGTGGGGTGGGGAGAGGGGAGAAGGAAGAGGACCGGGTGCCCGCCAGGTCCTACCTGCTCTGCCACCTCTCGCACGGACTGGACGCTGGTCCCATAGAGGTGGCTGTTGTACTGGCCGGCCTCAATGAACTTGTGCGCCTGAATGTCCTTCTCCATTTTCTCCCGGGACGACACAAAGTGGTAATCCCGGCCATCTATCTCATACTCCCGCTTGGGCCGTGTCGTATCTGCCAGGAAGTCACCCCACCCCCCAAAGATCTAACCACCATCCCTCTAGCTTAAATCCTGCCTACTTCAATCAAATCCCCATAGTGCCCAGCTGGTCCTTTGGTGAAAGGGAGCTGCCAGGGAGACCAAGACTGCAGAGGGCCAGAACCGCTTCCCCTAGCACCCTCCAGGGCCTCCAAGTCTCTGGCCTGGGCATGGGTACTATGGAATGAGAGGGTGGCTGAGAAGCACCCCTTCTCGGAGAAACCCTGTATCTCCCTACACACCGATCCCCCAGGAGGCTCTGCCTATGGCCCCAGGGATGGGCCTCCCCTGCCCCACCCCCACTTCCACCTTCTCCTCCATCCAAGGCCCCAGCACTCACGGGGAACACAGGATCCAAACTTGTCGGGGAACTCGGAGAGAAGATCATCGTTGGCGCGGTCCTTGGTGGGCCCAAGGATGATGATGGGGCGAGCATAGTGCACTGCAGAGAGAGCCTGGCTTAGGCCGAGCGCAGGGTTGGGGGAGCAGCAAGTGCTGGGGCCAAGGCAGGGGCCAGGGCTCACCTTCCATCTGCGTCACTGTCTCGTAGCTCAGAACCGAGTCTTCTCGACCTGGTGGGAGGTGGGGCATCTGCAAGGGGCTCTGAAACAGGGGACCTGGAGCCCTGTCTCCCCCTTGAGGATATCAAAAGCAACTCAGTGCTCCTCTCACCCACATCTTCCCGAACTAACCCTACCTACCCTGCGATCCAGAGCTGGAGCCCCAGTCCTAAGAAGAAAAAGCAGGCCACGGGGTTAGTTATGAGCTCAGCTCCATGAGCCCTCACACTTCCACCCAGGCTCACACCCTCCTCCACCTACCTTGGCCTTTAACCTTGACCACTCTCGTCGCTCAACCCTGTGGGATACATGGAGGGATACGCGGGTAGGGGAATGCCTACCCCCTGCCACCCCCATGCTCTGAGCCAGCTGACAACCCCTTCTCCATACTCTGGGCCAGCTGACACCCCTTCTCCTGCAGCCCTGGACACTGTGCTCCTCAATAAGGAGTTGTCCTTCCCAAAGGCTCATGGGAGCCACGGACCCCAGGAGGGCCCAACAGACAAACCCCTAGGAGTTCAGAGGGCAAACCCATCCCCTGTTGGCTGCCCACCCCGGGGGACCTTGGGAACTTCAGTGCCTGTGGCAGGAAGGCTACAGAGCCCAGGAGCCTCACCGCCGTTTGCTGGGGATGAACCCAATGTCGTCGGTCTCACTGTCAGAGTGGACCCGCCGTGCCTGCCACCACTCCTCATCACTAGCATCGATGACATGCAGCACATCCCCAAAGCGGAAGCTCAGGGCCTGGCTCAGGAAGCCGCAGTCCTTGGTCTTGTCGTAATCAAACAGGGCCCTGGAGGGCAAGTGGCTATCGGTCAGAGCCCAGCTGAGGACTCCAGGAAGGATGCCCCAGTCACCCAAAGACCCGGCCCAGAGGTCTGCAGATGGCACTCCCATGGGAGCTATGGATGCCGAGGAACCCAAAACTGTGTGGGGACCAAACGCTGACTATAACTCATAACAACTATTAGCCATCACTCAGTCCACACTGAGCACAGTTTCCAGAGGCAGGGCTTGAACTTGACCCTCTCAAGAAAGCAGTTTGGGCCAGGCGTGGTGGCTCCCACCTGGAATCCCAGCTGACTTTGGGAGGCCAAGGCGGGCGGATCACAAGGTCAGGAGATTGAGACCATGGTGAAACCCCGTCTCTACTAAAAATACAAAATATTAGCCGGGCACGGTGGCGGGTGCCTGTATTCCCAGCTTCTCGGGAGGCTGAGGCAGGAAAATGGCATGAACCCAGGAGGCGGAGCTTGCAGTGAGCAGAGATCACGCCACTGCACTCCAGCCTGGGCAACGGAGCGAGACACCGTCTCAAAAAAAAAAAAAAAGAAAAAGAAAAAGAAAAACAGAAAGCAGTGTGCAGTACACACGCACATCATAAAGTCACAGGGGTAACCCTGAATCTGCCCAAATTCATAAGAAAAAGAAAATGTCCCGTGTTTCCAAATAATGGTTACCCTTACCAGTATCAAATTTCTATCAGTAAGTCACAACCCCTGGGGTCAGAACCAGGGAAGTAATGAAGACACAGAAGAAAGCAATGGGCCTGGAGAGGAGGGAGGAGACCCCGGGCCCCCTGGAAGTGTGACAACCAGATGACATTCCGCCTGGGAGCCACTACACAACCTCTGTGGTCACTGGGAGTCAGAACAACCTTGGGGACCAACCGGACCCGAGCAGGGAGGAAGGGCAGAGCAAGGGCTCAGGTGGGAGCCAGTGTCTGGGTGGCTGGTGATGCCATCCAACAAGAGGGAAACTGCTGGCACAGCAAGATGGAACCCAGGCCCACAGCAGGATGATGAGCTCAGCGTGGGACATGTTGAGTGTGGGACGCCTGTGGGACATCCCAGTGGAGATGGCCAGAAAGCCAATGGCCAGAAGTGCAGGTCTTGACCTCTGGAAATAGGTCAGCCAGGGCCAGCACCTCCGAGAGACATCTGCAGAGCGCAGCGGCAGACGAGGCCATGCAAGCCACAGGGCCAGACAGGGACAGAAGTGGAGGGGTGACCCCCGGGGGCGGGAGAGAGGTGTGTTTTGGCAGAAACCTAAGCCACAAAAAGAGTCAATGGAGACGAGCCCTAAGAGGGGAGCAAAATGCCGCTGGAGAGACGGGGGCAGGCACCACAGAGCTGCGGCCCACGTCTCCGGGACTGCCCACAGGGACGTGAAGGCTGGGGCAACACTCCAAATACCCTAGAGGACCCTGCTTCACCAAGCATTAACCTTCGAGACGCCAAATTGTGGGGTGGCCTGGGAGTCCCGGGGAAGTGCTGGGATGACCAGGGGCTAGAAGGCAATTGGGATACTTGGGGCAGAGGCTATTTTCCCATCGACAGGGAGTATTTCAAATGTTAACCTGTGCAGCCAAGCCCATGAACCCTGGCTGCGCCTCAGGCCTGGGGTGGGGAGCTAGAGCAGGCAGGGTGGAGAAGAGGAGCGGCTGAGGCCCGGGCCAGGCACAGAGTGCCCAGGAACGCAGAGGGGCTGAGGAGTCCAGCCCGGGAAGCCTCTGACCTGATGTAGAAACCCCTTTTGGGGTTGCTCCGCAGGGACGCAGTCCCTGAGCCCAGGCTGCTGTTCATGAGCTGTTCCCGAAGGTCGTGGATCTTGGCCTCGAATCGGCTGTACTCTGAGGAAGGACAGGGAGGTTTCTGAGCTCTGTCCCCATCCTACTGTCACCCCTGTCCTCCCCTACTGAAGCCATCAGCTGAGGAAGAGTTCTAAGGGCCATTTCAGCTCACAAGACAAGGAACTTCCGGCCTGGTACCTTCTGGTTTATACTGAGCGATGATCGTGACCGTCTGACCCGCATTCTTCAGGGCAATGGCAGCCTGCTCATGGCTGGCATTTCGGAGGTCCACACCGTTGACCTAGAGAGAGGACGACAGGCTGTGTCACCAGAGACAGGAGGCAGCACTTCTGGGTCCAGGTGGAGCAGGGAGTGGTCCCGCAAGAGGACTCGGCTGCAGCCCATCCAGGCCCCTCCCCAAGAGCTCTGCGCTCTGCCCTGTGGGGAGGGGGTGGTGCAGGTAGGGGCAGGCCTTCCCTCACCGACAGGATCTGGTCCCCCTTCCGCAGCTCCCCACTGAGGTCTGCAGGGCCCCCGGCCAGGATAAAGGAGATGAAGATGCCTTCACCGTCCTCGCCACCCACGATGTTGAAGCCCAGGCCCGTGGAGCCCCGGTGGATCACAATTCGCCTCGGTTCTCGGGGAATGTCTTCCTCCCCGAGCAGGTCCTTGGCCACTGGAGAGTAGCGCCGAGGGGAAGTGGGGGTCATGGCTGTGGGGTAGTCGGTGCCCAGGTAGCTGCTGTGACTGATCTCATTGTCCAGGTGCTGGGAATAAGCTGAGGAAGACAGGGCAGAGATGAAAGTGCCTGGAGGGAAACAGCACCCGCCACCCAACCTTCTCCCCAGGGTGCCAGAAGAGCCAAAGTTAGGTGGAAGGGAAGATATTCTGCCAGAGATGCCAGGGTGGGGTGGTAAGGGGATATCAGATCACAGTGACATCAGGGGTCAGGAATTTATAGGTGACATCAGAGGCTGGTTGTCCTAGGGGATAAAGGATTTGAACGTTATATGTCCTCAGTATGCCAGGGATGGGGAAGTCAAAGGGAGCATTAATATTACGCTTTGGGGGTTTTCTCTGGGTTCCTGTGTCACTCGAATCTCTTAATCCATAAAATTCTTCTCCCTCTTTTTTCCCCCCACCTCTCTGCCATCCATTCGTTGAAAAAACTAGGTCATTTGTCTAAAAGAATTTCCCACATTCTATGAGGGAAATTCTTTTGTTTTTTTGGGGTTTTTTTGAGAAGGAGTCTCAGGCTGGAGTGCAGTGCCGTGATCTTGGCTCACTGCAGCCTCTGCCTCCCAGGTTCAAGTGATTCTCATGCCTCAGCCTCCCAAGTAGCTGGGATTACAGGCGCGCGCCACCATGCCCAGCTAATTTTTGTATTTTTAGTAGAGACAGTGTTTCACCATGTTGTCCAGGCTGGTCTGGAACTTCTGAACTCAAATGATCCACCCGCTTATGCCTCCCAAAGTGCTGGGATTACAGGCATGAGCCACCTTGACCAGCCTATGAGGGAAATTCTAACAGGGAAATTACTGCTTACCCTCCTGTGGTTTGTTTAGCCTATGCCTCTGCCCCTGTATCTCCTGTAAACTGGCAGTTCATTCTGGAGGCTTGATCAGTTTCAAGTTCAATTCAGAGTTTTTTTTAGTAACTCCTGTATACTTCATAGGTAGCGCTACGTTCTTCCTACAGCATCACCACAGGATGCAATAATGCCTGGTTGTCTTTCTGTCAGGTAAGATTAATGGTAGGTTCAGGGTCATCAGCCCAGTCCATCCATTATCTAGCGCCCCATCAGCCTTTCAGGTAAGTTTTAGCCACACTGACAATCACCGCCTGGTTCTGATAAGTATCAAGGACTGCAAAATGGTGGTGATTGTCATTTACTAGTGGGAATTCTTCTGTAAAAAAGAAAAATCTCGACCAGGCACGATGGCTCATGCCTGTAATCCCAGCACTGTGGAGGCCAAGGCAGGCAGATCACTTGAGGTTAAGACTTTGAGACCAGCCTGGCTAACATGGTGAAATCCCGTCTCTACTAAAAATACAAAAATAGGCTGGGCGTGCTGGCTTACGTCTATAATCTCAGGTACTCGGGAGGCTGAGGCAGGAGAATTGCTTGAACCCAGGAGGCGGAGGTTGCAAGGAGCCAAGATTGTGCCACTGCACTCCAGCCTGGGTGACAGAGCGAGACTCCCTCTCAAAAAAAAAAAAAAAAAATTCCTCCAGCTTGGGTAACATGGTGAAACCCTATCTCTACAAAAGACAAAAGTTGAAAGTTAGCTGAGGCTGGGCGCAGTGGCTCACGCCTGTAATCCCAGCACTTTGGGAGGCCGAGGCAGGTGGATCACAAGGTCAGGAGTTCAAAACCAGCCTGGCCAAGATGGTGAAATCCCATCTGTACTAAAAGTACAAAAATTAGCTGGGCGCAGTGGCAGGGCCCTGTAATCCCAGCTACTCGGGAGGCTGAGGCAGGAGAATTGCTGGAACCCGGGCGGCAGAGGTTGCAGTGAGCCAAGATCGTGCCACTGCACTCCAGCCTGGGTGACAGAGTGAGACTCCATCTCAAAAAAAAAAAAAAAAAAGTTAGCTGAGCATGATGGCACTCGCCTGTAATCCCAGCTACTCGGGAGGCTGAGGTGGGAGGATCGCTTGAGCCCAGGAGGCGGAAGTTGCAGTGAGCCAAGATCACACCACTGCACTCCAGCCTGCTGGGTGACAAAGCAAGACCTGCCTCCAACAAAAAAAAAGCAAAAACAAAAACAAAAAAACAGCCCTATGTCAACCTGTTGGTTACTCTCTGAGGTAGCTGGTACATGAAAGGGAGGATAAATGCATGCCTCTCTCTGCATGCCTCTTTCCATTCATTCACCAATTTCAGAATGAATGAGATTGCCTAGCATCCTCCAATTTTTTTTTTAATTATTTATTTTTTTGGGATGGAGTTTCACTCTTGTCGCCCAGGCTGGTGTGCAGTGGTGCGATCTTGGCTCACTGCAACCTCTGCCTCCCAGGTTCAAGGGATTCTCCCACCTCAACCTCTCCAGCAGCTAGGATTACAGGCACCCACCACCACGCCTGGCTAATTTTTTGTATTTTTAGTAGAGACGGGGTTTCGCCATGTTGGGCGGGCTGGTCTCGAACTCCTGACCTCAGGTGATCCGCCTGCCTCAACCTCCCAAAGTGCTGAGATTACAGGCATGAGCCACCGCGCCCAGCCAAAATATTTTTAAGTATTATTATGATCTTAAAGATTTTAATATATTTAACGAGTTTTCACTGGACAGTAGAAGCACCTTCAGTTTGGATCCTGTGTCTTTGCTGAGACCCTATTAGTCCTGGATACCTTCCTTGCTCTCTAGTATGAAAGAAGTTAGAAGCTCATCTTACAGATTTATTGCCAAAGATTTTAAATTGGCTGGGCACGGTGGCTCAGGCCTGTAATCCCAGCACTTTGGGAGGCCGAGGTGGGGGGATCATGAGGTCAGGAGATCAAGACCATCCTGGCTATCACGGTGAAACCCCATCTCTACTAAAATATACAAAAAAATTAGCCAGGCGTGGTGGTGGGCACCTGTAGTCCCAGCTACTCGGGAGGCTGAGGCAGGAGAATGGCATGAACCCGGGAGGCGGAGCTTGCAGTGAGCCAAGATCGTGCCACTGCACTCCAGCCTGGGCGACAGAGCGAGACTCCGTCTCAAAAAAAAAAAAAAAAGAAAAGAAAAAAAAAGATTTTAAATTGACCCTTCTTCCAAGGAGCCCAGGTTCCTTTTGTTAGGTTATGGTATTTAGGAATAGTACCACATGATTTTAATATGGTTTTACAGTATTATTTCATATTTTGTAGGGGCTGCCACACCTCATTATTTGTTTCCAAAATGTCTTAGCTTTTCCACACAAATTTTTCCAGTCAAACTTTAGTGTCAACCTTCCAAGTTCCCAGTAGGGAAACAACATTAAAATTCTGATTAGGATTGAATGGAATGTAGATTAATTTGGAGCCGGTTGAGATCTTTAGCATATTAAGTTTTTCCATCCAGAGACACGGTGTGACTCCTCACCCCTTCCAGTCTTGTTTTATGTCTTTCAGTAAAGTTTTGTCATTTTCTTCATACAAATCTTACATTTCTTGTCAAGTTTCTATTTCTAATAATTTTATAGAAATTTTTTCTATGGCAAAAGGGGGCTTTTTATTCACTACATTTTCTTATTGCTGGGAAGTTACTAATTCCTGTTATTTATCTTACAAATAGCCACATTCCTTTTTTTTTTTGTCGTTTTTTGAGACAGAGTTTCACTCTTGTTGCCCAGGCTGGAGTGCAATGGCGCGATCTCAGCTCGCCGCAACCTCCGCCTCCCAGGTTCAAGCAATTCTCCTGCCTCAGCCTCCTGAGTAGCTGGGATTGCAGGCATGCACCACCATGCCCGGCTAATTTTGTATTTTTAGTAGAGATGGGGTTTCTCCATGTTGGTTAGGCTGGTCTCGAACTCCCAACCTCAGGTGACTCACCCATCTCGGCCTCCCAAAGTGCTGGGATTACAGGCATGAGCCACCGGCGCGCCCAGCCTGTTTTGGTTTTTTTTTTTTTTTTTTTTTGAGATGGAGTCTCGCTCTATCGCCCAGGCTGGAGTGCAGTGGTGAGATCTTGGCTCACTGCAAGCTCCGCCTCCCAGGGTCAAGGAATTCTCCTGTCTCAGCCTCAGGATTAGCTGGTATTACAGGCGCTCGCCACCACACCCAGCTAATTTTTTTTTGTATTTTTAGTAGAGACAGCGTTTCTCCATGTTGGCCAGGCTGTTCTCAAACTCCTGACCTCAGGTGATCCGCCCGCCTTGGCCTCCCAAAGTGTTGGGATTACAGGCATGAGCCACCTCGCCCAGCCAACAAATAGCCACATTCTTAACTTTGCATATTTTTCCAGTTAATTCACTTAGATTTTGATCTAGATGCACAGTAGTATAATTTACAAATAGAGATAACTTTTGTTTTTCCCTTCCAAATGTAACTATTCTCCTTGTCTTGTTACACTGTCTGAAATCTCTAAAGCAGTGATTCTCAACCACCATAATTTCGCTGGGGCAATTCTGTCATAACATTTTTTAATTGTTATGACTGAGGGGGAGGAGTACCATTGTCATCTGATAGACAGAGGCCAGGGATGCTGCTTAATATCCCACAAGGCACAGAACAACCCCCCACAATGAAGAGTTATTGGGTCCAAAAATGTCAGGAGTAACACTGAGAAACCCTGCTCTAAAGCAATGAAGAATAATAGCAGTGGGAAGAGGCATCCCTGCCCTCTTTGTAAGTTAACGGAGGCCGGGCGCGGTGGCTCACGCCTGTAATCTCAGCACTTTGGGAGGCCGAGGAGGGCAGATCACCTGAGGTCAGGCATTCGAGACCAGCCTGGCCAACATGGTGAAACCCTGTCTCCACTAAAACTACAAAAATTAGCCAGGCGTGATGGTGGGCACCTGTAATCCCAGCTACTCGGGAGGCCGGGGCAGCAGAATCACTTGAACCTGGGAGGCAGAGGTTGCAGTCAGCTGAGATCACACCACTGCACTCCAGCCTGGGCAAGAAGAGCGAAACTCCATTTCAAGAAAAAAATTAAAATTAAATTAAAAAATAAGTTAATGGACACACTGCTAAAATTGTATCATTATAAAATGTTTGTTACTGGTTCCTGATAACTAGTCTTCACCATCTTAAGGAAAATTTCTGTGTTCCTAGTTTACTAAAAGCTTTCATCCAAAAGAGATGGTGAATTTCACCAAATGCCTTTTTCACGTCTATTTAAGATAATCACATCGTTTTCTCCTCTCGCTCTGTCACCCAGTCTGGTGGGCAGTGGCGCAATCATTGGCTTACTGCAGCTTCCAACTCCTCGGCTCAAGCGATCCTCCAGCCTCAGCCTCCCAAGTAGCAAGGAGTATAGGCACGTGCTAATTTTTTTAATTTTTTTAGAGACAGGATCTCGCTTTGTTGCCTAGGCTGGTCTCAAATCCCTAGCTGGTCTCAAATCCTCCCACTTTGGCCTCCCAAGTGCTGGGATTACAAGCATGAGCCACCACACTTAGCCTCCCGTAACGTTTTAATATATGAATCATATTAAGAGATTTCCTAATATTGAGCCATCTTTAGTTTTCTGAAACAAACCCTATGTTATTCCCTTAACATGCTGCCATGTTTGCTTTGCTACTATATTATTGTAAACTCTTGTATCTCTATTCAGAAGCAAAACGGGTCTATACTCTCCTTATTTTACACTATCCTTGTGACCATTCGAACTGGCCTTATAAAATGAAATGTGAAATCTTTTATCTTTTCCTGTACTCTGGAAGAGCAGAAGAATTATCTATTCCTTGAGAATTTCACAAAATTAGCCATAAAACCAACCAGGCTTTGTGCCTTCCAGGAGAGAGATCGTTGACGATCTTTTCTAGTTCTTTTATGGTAATTGATTTTCCATCTCTTCTCCAACAACAGCAAGGATCAGAGGTTGTGGCTATTTCATAGGGAATATCTGAAGAGGGACAGCTACAGGGATGTCGTGGGACTGCATGTCATGGGTTAAACGGGATGGGTCATGGGGAACTTTGGTGTTTGAAGGGCTCTCACAGGTTGTGATGTCTGGGGGAGCATAGCTGTCACTCAGGTAGGCATTGCTGGGCTTGGCCACCTTTAGGTAGACAACATCATACGTGTTCTTCAGGGCTGCCACAGCATCTTCATGCATGACGTCCTCTAGCCCCACACTGTTGACCTGGAGTCAAGGAAAGCAAAGCTCAGACAAAGCCACAAATGGCCCAAGACAGAAGCACTGGGGTGAAGTGATGAACTTGGGCCTGCCAGGGCTAGTAGGTGAGACCCAAATCTGGGCTAGAAAATGGGCTAGATGGAGTCCTCACCGCCAGGATCTTGTCTCCAATCTGCAACCTCCCATCCTTGTGGGCAGCACCCCCTTCGATGATCTTTGTTACATAGATGCTATTATCTCCTGGGATGTGCTGGTTCCCTACGCCCCCTGCGATGCTGAAGCCAAGACCTGGATGGAGGGGAGGCCAGAGGTGGGTGCCCAGGAAGCAGGCTTGGGGGCACAGGACAGTTGGGATGGGGGTGGGAACAAAATGAGTTACTACCTTTAGGCCCCTTGATGAGCTTGATCTCCATGACCTTCTCAGCCGGGGGCTTCCGGCGCATGACATAGAGGCGAACGATGGAGCCTGCCTCTTTGAGGGCTTCCACCGCCGCTGAGTGGGTCACCTCGCGCACGTCCACTTCATTTACAAACAGGATGCTGTCGTTGACCCTGGGAGCAGCAAGGTGGGCCTGAGCCAAGAGCTTCCTGCTGCCCTGGCCCTCCCTCTCCAGGGACCAAGCAACCTAACCCCTGTCTCCTCTCCCCACCTGAGGCGGCCATCCTGGGCCGCAGCCCCACCAGGAATGATCTTGGTGATGAAAATGGATGGGTCGTCACCGATGTGTGGGTTGTCAGTGCCACCTGCGATGCTGAAGCCCAGACCTGAGTTACCCTGGGTGAAGGAGGGGAAGAGGGTCAGCTCCCCTCACTGCCCAAGTCTGGCAAGGCAAGTGGGGTGGGAAATGGCTTGGAGCAGCCAGAGGAGGAAGGCACAGGGTGAGGGGCTAGCCACCCAGACCACATGGCAGAAAGAAAGGTACAGACGGGAGGCCACGGGGACTGCCGATGGAGGAGCCTGCTCACCCTTTCCAATGTGATTTCCTCGTATTCCATCTCCCCCTCGGTCCCGTTCACCTGCAACTCCAGCACGGGACAGAAACACAAAAGCAGTGAGACAGACATTCCTGTCTGACCACCTGCCCGTCATCTGCTGCCCTCCCTTACTCCCTCCTTCCTTCTGCAATGGCCCCAGCCCCAAAATCTAAACAACTCACATATCCTGGGGCTTCTAGGGTATCTGTGTTGACAATCACTGGGGGAGAATTGGCCTGTTTGGGAAAACAAGAGACAAAAAGCAGCCTGAGCCTTGACTCGAGAGGGAGCCCATAACGGAGGGTCCCATCAGCGTGGCTACCCTTTCAGCCTCTTAGCCAAGCCCACTCCGCCACCCTGAGAGCTGCTCAAGGGCCCAGCCTCAATCCACATCACACACACGCACACGCGTGCACATGCGCACGCGCACACACACGCACAGATGCACACGCGCAAGGATCTAACTCTGCCCAGCCCGGGGCCCCCTGCATGTGGAAGGAGGTGTAGGAGAAGCGGGAAGGGAGACAGCCAGACGGAGAGGGGAGCAGCAGATGGCAAAGAGTGGGGAGAGGGGGGTAGGCTTGGGGGAAGGGAGCTTCTCACCGGATGTAACACCACAGGGTGTTACATGCCTTATGTGCTACACATGGACACCCCAGGGATCATGTCCACCGGGTCCTGGTCCCCATTTCCTGCCCCATCCCCCCAACCCCCCATATCTACCCAGATATTTTCATAACCCTCCCCTAGACTTGCCCCTCACTTTCACAGACATTTGCCCTAAACCCTGCACCCCGGGAATCCGGGGTTCCCCAGCTGCAGGCCCCTCCCTCGGTCTCACCAACCAGCCGTCCAATCCACCCCTTCCTCTAAGGACCGTGTTGCCTAGCAACGGTATCTAGGACCAGTCAAGACCCGGGGAGACCCACCTCCAGGAGGCCCTGTCGTCAGGACAACAGGGGGGTGGGGCGTGGCCTGGGGCCGACCAAACTCCTGAGCGCAGAAGGGATCCGCTAGCCCCGCCTCTCCTGCCCTGGGCCCCGCCCCACGTTAGCCAGGCCGAGAGGAGGCCGGGCTGAAGAGGTTTGTGGGCGCAGCGCATCCTGAATAACCTGCCTTCCTCGCTCCCCTACGCCCCTCACCCTACGCAGTGCAAAGGACGTCAGGAACTGGGAGTGGTGAAAGACATCCGGGTCCTATCCCGCTCATCTACTCCCTCCCCCCACTTCATTCGGGAAAGGGTTAAAGTGGGGCGTGCCCAGGTCCCTGACGTCAATCGCCTGGTCTCTAGACTCCCAGGCGGGGCCCGCTTTAGCCCGGTCCTAGGGGCTTCCCCAATTGCCAGGGCAACCGAAGCCACGTCTCTATGGCAATGGGGGGAGGCCGCCAAGAGCCTCCTTCCGGGGTCCCCAACCTACTTCCTCCTTAAAGAAACATGTATTTGCAGTCGCCCAAGCGCAAGGATTCCCCAGTCTCCTTCCCGCTCTCCCCGTCCAAAGGGGTCCCTCCCCTCTCCTACTGCTATTTCTCAAGCCTACAAACTACCGACCATTTTCAAGCTGTATCACAGATTTCACACCCATAAATCTATTAACACCACCCTCCAACCCTTCACATATCAGCAAATGCTGTTGTCCAACCAACAGTCACTGACTGCCAAAATCTCATCCACGTGTTCATCCCCCATCCCACAGCCCGTCCCCCATCCCACAGCCCGTCCCCCATCCCGCAGCCCGTCCCCCATCCCGCAGCCCGTCCCCCATCCCGCAGCCCGTCCCCCATCCCGCAGCCCGTCCTCCATCCCATAGCCCGTCCTCCATCCCATAGCCCATCCTCAATCCCCATCCCCATCCCTATCCTGGAACCTCCTTCCCAGCACACCCACCTTCATCCACTACGACATTCATTTGCTTCCCATCCCTATCTCTGCCCGCATCCCACATGCTCCATCTCCATCCCTGTCTCGCCCTTCAACATCCATCTTCCAACCCCAGCCTCCATTCTCCATCCGCTTCCCTGGCCCTGTCGCACCCTCCAGCCCCATCCCTTACCAATGTGGCCTCATCCTCCATCCCAATTTCTTTTTTTCCAGAGACAAGGTCTCGCTGTGTCACCCAGGCTGGAGTGCAGTGGTGTGATCATAGCTCACTGCGGCCTTGAACTCCTGGGCTCAAGCAGTCCTCCCACCTCAGCCTCCTGAGTAGCTACAGGCACATGCCACCCCACCCAGCTACTCCATCTCAATTTCTGATTCCCCAGAGAGTTTATCACCATTCTCCCTTACCCTACCTTCATACCCTCAAGATTATTCTCAAGTAACAATCTTACACTTCTCAATCAACTCCCCTCTCTTCTGAAAATTGGGGCTTCTCCTGTTCCCCAGGTGAGGCCTTGTCCTGAGACCTCCACCCCATGCTTATGGCCTCCAACACTCTCTCCCTCCACCCCCTTCTGCTCCTGAGCTCTGATCAGCAGCAGCTCTGTACTAACTACCACCCCTCAGGCTCCCTACCTCCTCTTCCCCCTGCTCAGGGATTTAATGGCCCTGCCTTGCACAAAGCATCTCTAGTCTTCTTTCCCTCACTCCTAGCATCCACAGAATTCGCACAAACACTCTGTACCATCCCTGTCTCCAGGGCCTTCCTTTCCTTGCTCTGTCAGCCTCATTCACTGCCCTGATCTCACAGTCTTATCCCTATCTGGCCCCTGACCCAGGACCTCTTACCCTTCCTATCCCCCAACTCCTCTCTTGCCAGTTCTAACTCCAGAACCTGCTTGCCCGCTCCCTAGGCTCAGAGACCTCCTCCCCATCTTCTTGGTGAAATGTCAGCAACCTCCCCCTTCCCAGAGCATCCCACAACATCCTAGAATCCCCACCCTGACCCCACAGTGTCCCCTCAATCTCACAGCTTGCCTGGTGCTCTCCAGTCCTCCCCATCCTGTGTCCCCAGAAGAGGAGATGGAGGAAGGGGAAGATGGAAAGTGGACTGGAGAATGGAAGGTCCCAGAAACCAGGCCTCCCGGGACTGGAGAGAGGAGGACGCTGTGAGCAGAGAGGAGAAAGGGAAACAGGTGGTGGGGGATGATGGAGGGGGCAGAGGGGGATAGAAAGAAGATATGGCAGAGGTGAGAACCCAAGAGGATGAGAGAGGGGAGGAGGAAAAGAGGGAAGGTGAAGATGAATAGGCAAGAGGGAACATGGGAAAGGGGAGCTGGCTGATGGAGGGAGAGGACTGATGAGGGAAAGGACTGATCAGGCCCCAGCGGCCTGGGCTGGGGATCAGGGAGAGGGAGAGGAGAATGCGTGGGAGGAAGAGAGAGACAGCATCAAGAGCCAGCCAGCCAGCCAGCCAGCAGGGAGGAAAGGCTGCAGAGGGGGAAGAGAACTCAGGAGTGGAGCAAAGCTGGGGCAGGGGACGAGGCAGCAAGGCCCCACCATGTGAAGTCTCAGGCCAGACAGATGGAAAGAGCTGGAGACTTGGGGACAGGGCGAGCCAGGCCCAGAGGCGGAGGTAGGGGGAGGAGGCGGGGAAGGGACAAGAGCAAATGAGGGCAGCAGGCGCTTGGAACAGAGCTCTGGACACAGAAAATGGAAATGGAGGTTGGGGGTGTGAAGGAATGAAGAGGTCCCAGGCGTGGGGGCCTCTTGGGGGATGCACACACCTCAACACACACGCATACAGCACACGCACAGGCACACAAACGGCGCACGCACGCACACACACACACAGCACACACACAGGCACGCATGCATGCACACACGCACAGGCACACACACAGCACACGCGCACAGGCACGCGCGCACACACACATTCTTGCTTTAGGCTTTACATCCACTCCCATTGGCCTGGCCTGTTTCTCCTCTGTGGGACCAAGGTGTTTCCAGCCCCACAAACGCCCCCTCCCCCAGACCCCAGGAGCCCAAGCCCCAAACCCCCGCCCCCAGTCCCAGCATCCCCCTCCCCACGGCTCTCTCTCACCCTACCGGCCCTTAGGGATTGCTGCAGCTCCGAGGCTCCGAGGGCCGCACTGGGGAGGGGGCCACCAGGGTCTCCTACCTTGAAGGGGGAGAGGTGGGCGTGGCCCACGACCCCGTGGCCAGCCTCGAGGTGGGACAAGTTCCTCTCCGCCACGTGCACCAGCTCGGGGGCGTTTACCTGGTTGGGGAGGTGGGCCGGGCTGTGCTCCAGAGGGGGCGTGTCTTCATCTTGGTAGCGGTATTTCTGGGGATGGGGACGGAGGTGTCACTGGGGCCAGCCCGGTGCCTCAGGCTCCAGGCTGGCCGCCCTGGCCGCCGCCTCTTCCCCCAGCCAGTGCAGTGCGGAAGGCCCTGGGGCCTGACCAGCTCCTCCCCCTCCCTCTCCTCTAGCCCATTGGCTCCCCTCTCTCCACTCTCCCAACAGCCCCCTCTCCCGCCAGGGCCTCAGCACCTCTCATCAATCCCCAGGTCCCAATCCCATCCCCCAACTCCTACTCCTCACATCCTGGGACACTGGCCTTCTGGTGGGCATAGCCCCTCTGGCATCTGTGTCTTCACCCCTTTCCCCACCACCTTCATCTTCGAGTCCCTCCAGCTTCTCAGAGCTCTAGCCCCGACACTCACATCTCCATTCTCTGCCTCCAGTCCCCAACTTCCTTGCTTCTCTCACCATCTCAGACTCACTCTTGTTCTAGCCTCCCCTCCCCTACCCCTCTGGCTGCTCCTACTCTGCATGGCATCCTCCCCGCGCCCCACCTCCATGGCCTCAGTCTCCCCATTGCAGCCTCTACCCCACAGGTGATTGGCTCTCCTTTACCTTGCACTCCTTAGGCAAGGACTGAAGTCACCCCTTCCACCAGAAGGTACTTGGTATCAGCCCCCGAGACAGGACAAGGCTAAGCCTGTCCAGTTCACTGCCCTTGCTGGTTTCCAAGCAGTCAACAGAGGGGCCCCGGGAGTCTGGCCCTACCCCTGCAACAGCCCACAGCCCAGCCAGCTAATCCGGTTATGCTATAAGGGCATGGGCTGGGGGAGGAAGGGGAAGAACAGAGACAGCAGGGCTCAGGACAGGGGCAAGAATGGGTGCCAGCCTCCCTGGTTGGGGAGGAGGGTAGCATGCTGAGCCTCAGAGTGAATTTCTGGTCTCCCTCTGCTCTTTTGGGGTGAAAGGCCCAACATGACCCCTGACTCCCTGCCCAGTTAATCAGCTGCCATCCCAAGGGCCTCCTGTGCTAGCTTAATAGGGACAACAGTAAAATGAGATTAACTGGGGGCCAGAGAAGGAGGAAAAGGGCAGATGGAGACAGCAGAAGAAGACAGCGTTTCTGCCTGGGTCCTTCCGTGTCCGCCTCTGCCCTCGCCTGCTCCTCTCCTCTGGAACGGGCCTCCACAGAGACTGACCCTCCAAGCTCCAGGTTCAGGAAGGGGAAGGTATCATACGCAGGGATCCCTCAGGAACTGAAGAAGACAGAATGCACCGCCCAGTACACATGGGTAAAAAGAGAAGGCACGGCAATCCCAGCACTTTGGGAGGCTGAGGCAGGCAGACAGCTTGAGCCCAGGAGCTGGAGTTGGAGACCAGCCTGGGCAACACAGTGAAACCCTGTCTACAAAAAATACAAAAATTAGCCAGGCATGGTGGTGCACACCTGTAGTCCCAACTGCTAAGGAGGCTGAGGTGGGAGGATTGCTTGAGCCCAAGAGGTGGAGGCTGCAGTGAGCCATGATCACGCCACCGCACTCCAGCCTGGGCAACAGAGTAAGACCCTGTCTCAAAAAGAGAGAGAGGCCAGGAGCAGTGGCTGATGCTTATAATGCCGAGGTGGGTACATCACCTGAGGTCAGAGACCAGCCTGGCCAACATGGTGAAATCCCATCTCTACTAAAAATACAAAAATTAGCTGGGCGTGGTGGCACATGGCTGTAATCCTAGCTACATGGGAGGCTGAGGCAGGAGAATTGCTTGAACCTGGGAAGCGGAGGTTGCAGTGAGCCGAGATCATGCCACTGCACTCTAGCCTGGCGACAGAGTGAGACTCCATCTCCAAAACAAAAAAGAGAGAGGGCGAGCAGAATTTCCCTCCCAAAAGTTTCTGAGAGGCTGAGAGTGCCCTAATACTTAGAGGGCAGCAGCTGCGAGATCAAATGGGAGGAAGCTTATCAAGGTCAATGGCCAATCCTTGAGTAGGATTCTGAAAATGTTAAAGATGATGAATCAAGGCTGAGAATATAACACAACTTTGGCTGTAGAGTAAGGGTACAGTAAGAGAATGGGAGAAGGGAAGTGGTCCTGTCAGCACGAAAACTCTCAAACCCAGAACACAGAGACAACTCAAATCAAGAAGCACCCTGATACATTTAAAGAGTCTTAAAGAAGGAAAACGGGCTCAGCAAGATTGAGTCTATTCTCTGGGCCACAGACTTGGAGAGAATCCTGAACTCCAGATTTCAATCCGATGGGCACAAAAAGTAGAGAAGGAAAATAGGAGAACACACAAAATAGCCCTCCTCCAAGGCTGAGCTGTCTTGAATAAAGGAGTTCTATGAACCAACAGAGACTGTTCATTCCACATCCTGAGAAGGTGGTCTTCTACCTGGGCAGTGCACAAGCTGAGGGGCAAGCCCCAGAATTGAGACCTGGGGGAAGGGGTGGAAGCCGCTCTCCGCTATCCACTCTTCCTTCACAAGGCCTCCAATTCCCTGCAAGGTAAATTAGGACCAAAGCTCCAAGTTTTGGAGTCTGGGGGAGGGTTTGAGTCCAGTGCCTCTCCATCTTCACTCCACCTCAGAGAGAAAATTCCTGAATCTGAGGAGGAAATGTCAGCGTGCACCCAAAGAAAATGGAAACATGAGGAGGGCCATTTCATCATTTATTCTAGGGAGGAAATGAAGGTAAACTTTTATCTCAGCGAGCCCCCAATACCTCTCCCTGCCCCACCCCCATGGAGGGAGGGTGGTGTCTGGCACTGAAGAAAAGGCTCCTCAGGATTGGGAGGCAACATGGAGAAAATGGGGAACAAGAAATGGGTGCCAGGGTTTCCAGAATGTGGCTGGAAGAGGTTAGGGACTAGGTTCAGTCTCTGGAAATTTTCGACGTACATGTAGGGGGGCGGGGAGAAACGTCGGGAGGGGTGGGGGTGGGGGCGGGGGAGAGTAATTCTGAAACTGCAGACTGGGGGGCTGGGGCGGTGGGGGATCAGCACCTCTCAGTCTTGGATTACAGGGCAACTAAAGCAGGACGGGAAAGGAGGACCCCCCCCATCCTTTATCCTACTGGGACTCAGGGCCCTAACCCAGACAACTCAGATGCTACTGGGACATATCTGCACCCCCAATATATTAGGGCTTAAAACAAGTAAAAGGCCTGGGGAATGGGGGACACGGACGGAGTCGCTGTTGTTCCTTCCCCTTTGGCCCCCTCCTCACCAGAGCCCCAGTTGCACAGAATGACCTGGAACTGAGGCTTGCACCCCCAAAACATAGGGGTGTGAGTCAAAGTGAATGATAAGAGGGGCGACCCACGGCGCCTGTCCACGAGAAGTTGCAACCCAGAGACCCCGCACCAAGCAGAAGGAAGAGCGACAGCGCTTGAAGCTTGCACCCTGATATTTGCGGGGGTCCGGGAAGGGGGAGCGGGCCGGAGCCCATACCGCGGCACGTACCACGCAGAGACACATGGAGGCGAATCTGTTCCGAGCCGACATGGAGAAGGGGAGGGGGACTGAGGGAAGGGGGTAGGTGGGATATCAAGGGTCCCGGGGGTTGGGGGAGGGGGAGGGGCAGAGGGGCGGGGGCTGCGGCGGCCGCGGCAACTGGAGGCTGCGGCGGGGGGGGGGGGGGGGTGACGGCGCCTGCGCAGTAAGGAAGAGCGTCACGTTGGGAGAGAGGGGTGAGGGGAGACCCTCTTAGCCACCAACTTCCCTGGTTCACGCTGTTTCTCTGTGAACTTCACTTTCCACAGTATACTTCTATTCCGACCCCTCTACAATTAAAGACAGACTTAAATTTACCAGTTTATCTCTCTAGTTCTCAGGGACCCCTTATTCCATCCCATCTAATCCCCCAACCCCAACATCGCGAGACCCCAAACCATTCCAAAACCTCACTGGACATCTCGTCACTACTGGCCTCCCAGAGTCCAGGGAAACAAACAGCACTTCTCTCACAAGAACCCCCAAGGGATCTACACTGCCTCTCCCACCAAACCCCCGCAAGATTGGTGCTGTGGATAGCATCTCCTCAGATTCCAAGGCATCTCCTACTCTAACCAGCATAGTTCTCCCCTGCAGTCCAGCCCCACCTGATAGGCAGCCCATGTTTCTTCAAGAGTTTAAGGAACCACAGAGCCTTGTTGGCCCCCCAAATTAATATATGCTAAATCATCCCTTTCTATATCACATCTATCTCCCAATCCACTAACAGGGATGTTGCAATTAGTGCAAATATTACTCTTGCTCTAATATAAACATCCAAATAACAAGTCCTCTAATTTGTTGGGGATCCCCTGTCCAAACCCCCGAATCTAATAAGATACTCATGACTTCCTAATATGCCAGTCTCCAAATCCACACCAGAACCCAATTTCAGGAAATATTTAATCTACTTTAAAGCAGACCCTCCAAATTAAATAGCAATCTCGTCAATTTTTTCCAAAACTCTTATAAAAAGAAATGTAGACGGGAAGATCGCTGGAGGCCAGGTGCCCAACACCAGCTTGGGCAACATAGTGAGATCCCATCTCTAAAAAAAAAAATTTTGGCCTGGCACGGTGGCTCACACCTGTAATCCCAGCACTTTGGGAGGCCGAGGCGGTTGGATCATGAGGTCAGGCGTTCCAGACCAGCCTGGCCAAGATGGTGAAACCCCATCTCTACTAAAACTACAAAAATTAGCCGGGCGCGGTGGCAGGCGCCTGTAATCCTAGCTACTAGGGAGGCTGAGGCAGGAGGATGGCTTGAATCTGGGCAGCAGAGATTGCAGTGAGCCGAGATCGTGCCACTGCACTCTAGCCTAGGCGACAGAGTGAGACTCGGTCTCAAAAATTAATAATTAATTAATTAAAAGTATTTTCCTTTTCCTTTTCTTTTCTTTCTTTCTTTCTTTTTTTTTTTTTTTTTTTTGAGACAGATTCTCGCTCTGTTGCTCATGCTGGAGTGCAATGGCGCGATCTCGGCTTACTGCAACATCCGGCTCCCGGGTTCGAGTGATTCTCCTACCTCAACCTCCCGGATATCTGGCATTACAGGCGCCCGCCACTACGCCCGGCTAATTTTTTTGTATTTTTAGTAGAGACGGGGTATCGCCATGTTGGCCAGGCTGGTCTCGAACTCGTGACCTCACATGATCCGCGCGCCTCGGGCTCCCAAAGTGCTGGGATTACAGGTGTGAGCCACCGCACCCGGCACCTCCTCTCCTTTTCTTTACCCCTGAGGTTCATAGATTACACCCTTTTCTGTCTGCCCAGAACATCCCCTCCACGATTCTGAATTCCAACTTTGTCGGAAGATTGCTCCCAAATATATCTTCTCCACACTCAGGCCTCAAAAAATACACACCAAAGATACGGCCGGCAATCTGCAATGACCCACAAATCGTCCAGAACACTCCCAACCGCCTCCTTCAGGTCTCTTCAGAGATTTCCATTTTCTCCCAAACAACTTAACCTGAAAGCCTCTCTTCCAAATATTCTCCCATTGAACGCCCACCCTTCCAGCTCTTAAAACCCAGTGAGGGGTCTCCTCAAATCGGCTGACTTCTATAAAATGCCCATACATGGTAGAAATGACGACTTCCCTAGAATCTCACCCAAGCGAGATTGACCCCGTTGATCGGCATCTGTTACATGCGCCCCCAAGATGACCCCCAATGTCCTAGTTTCATATCTGGTAGGAAGGCTTGGATCACCAGAGGATCCAAGGAGTCAGTGCGGAAGGGGCTGGACTCAAATTTCCTTCTAGAATAGAAAACCTGCAGGCCCTGCTTATCCACCAGTGGGCGCCATGGCCCATAAAGACCCTTCCCCATCCCCCATTTCCCTTTTCCCTCCATTTTCCGTTTCTCTGTTGCCTGGCAACGCAGCAATCAAGGACTTTGCCGTCGCCTAGCAACCGTCTCCTGGGAACACAGAGCTGAGGTAGGAGGGGTGCTCTGATGAAATCTGAACAGACCTCCATCTTAGGAAAATTGAGACGTCAGACTTCCCAACCCCCGGATTCTCCTTTCCAAAGACCCCCGCGCCCTGAAGTTACTTGGACAATAGCTCCTCAAACCCTGTCTCCTTTACGCACGGGGGGCCACGCCACGCCCATCCCAGGTCAGCCCCGCCCTCATTTCGGTCAGGTAACCCAGCCCCAAGGTTCCTCCCCTTTCCGAAGGTTGCTGCCTCCCTCGATAGAGTAAGCCAGACCCCACCCACCTGCCCGGGAGGCCACGCCTCCGTCCACTTCCCGCCCGTTCGCTCCCCCTGCCTCGCCCACACTGTCCCTCCGCCACGCCCCTGACGGCCAATGAATGAGGCCGTCGGCCACACTGCCCCGCCCCCGGCATCTCGGCTTTGCCCAATAAGGACCACCCGGAGGGTTTAACCGCTTCGCTCCTGGGGCTCTGGCAAATAGCCTCAGTCTTTCCCCCACTGTATCCCCACCCCCACTTGTTCTGCTCCGCCTTCCGCCACCCTCGCCCGGCCCTCCAGTCCGCCACGCAGCTTCAGTCGTCGCCGGTTACCATGGCAACGGCGGCAGCAGCGCGGGGAAAGGGGGAGGGACGGGGGCGGAGTGGGAGAAAGAGATGCTCAGAGACGAGAGATTCTGGCAGAGATAAAGGCACCAAGAAAGACAAAGTGATCGCTGTAGAGTGGAGTTTGCACACAACACAGGGCCTAGCACGCAGTAGGCTTTCAATAAATGTTCCTTAAATTACTGCGGCAGGAGTCTAAATATAGGCAATGAAAGATGGAAGACTCAGGCAGAGCTGGGGAGCTCAACGACCGCAAAGCCTGAGCACTCCCTACCCCATCCAGCATTTGGGGAAGCAGGAGCCATGTGCCCCCTGCAGGCTCCTCTTGGGCTACCCTCCGCTGGCTGCCCTGGATAGAGATGAACCACAACTCCCAACAGCGCCATGGGCAGCAACCCTCTAACATTGAGGGATCTGGTGCCTCGGGGCCTTATGGGAGTTGGAGTCCCCACCATACCGAGGCTGACAAGTTTTCCAGCCAAGGAATGTGGCAAGCCTGGGTCTCCACGCCTCTGTAAACCCCAAATGCATGATCTGCTCTGTAAGCCTCCTTCCTTCAGGGATGCTCAACCCTGGGCTCCATGGAAGAAGTAGGAGTCTGGAGTGGGTAATGAATAAGGCCACCCACCCACCCAGAATAGCTGCCTGCTGGCAAGCCCCTCACCCTCGCTCCCATTTGTGTGTTCACGTGTTGGAAGCAGAGCCCACACATTCCAGCGGGCTTTCTATTTACACCTGGAATGCAGGGGACCACAGCCATGGAGCCTAAGGCCAAGTGACAGGCCTAAGGGCAGGAGACAGCGGGAGCAGAGGAAACCAGGCCAGAGAAACTGAGGCATAAAAATCCACCGAAACTACAGGGGATGTGGGGAAGAGGCAGCCTGGGAGAAAGCCCGAAACCCACAGAATGAAGGACAAGAAAGTCGCCCTGGTGGAGAGAGGGTGGGGGCTCCAGATCTAAAGGTCCTCAGCCCCCAATCTCTTCCAACCATCCTCACACGTGCACAATGCATGTGTACACACATGTGTGAGTTTGTGGCAGGGAACATGTGTGTCCTCAGCTCCCTCCCATGAAAAGCTGCAGTTCCCACTAAATATAACCCCCTCCCCAGCCTGTGACTCACCCGGACCCCGCCTCCCCCGGCCCCCACTTCCTGTCCCACCCCCCAGCCCCCAGCTGCCTGCCACCCGCCCAAGCCTCCCTCCACACACCAGGCATCCAGCTCTCCAGTCCCAGAGTCTCCAAGGAGAGCCTAGGTATCTGCATCCCACCAGGAGCTCGCCTGTGCTCCATCCGAGATCTCCTGCCTTTGCCAGGCTCCAACCAGAGGGACACTCTTGCACAGATCCCCATCGCTGCCAGCCCTGCCCTCCTCCTACACCTTTTCACCCCAGTAACCTCAGTAACTTCGGTCATAAGCCCTCAGGGACCCTTAAATCCAGGTGTCCTCCCCCACCTTGATCCCAAGCGTCAGGGGTATCTGGAACAGTCCCCACATCTGCTCTTCTCCCTCTCTCTTGATCAGGGCTAGATACAGTGTGGGAGGAGATGGGGATATTGGGCACCTGCCTTTGGGCCACCCCCAAATTGTGCACCACCCACCCGGTCCCCCTCCTCAAATCCCCTCTCTCCCTAAGCCTCTCATCCTCCTCCTCAGGGGCTGGCAAGCTCGGCTGCTGCAATCTTCTGCCTCCTATGGGAGTACCCCCAAATCCTTGCCTCACCTGGTCCATTCCCTCAGGTGATCCCATGCCAGGGCCCCAGCCCTCTGACAACTTCCAACTACCTCCATTCTATATGACTGAACCCTAAATTAACAGTTCCCTCAAATTGAGAGAGCATCCCTAAATGCAGCCACCACGAGATGCTTGTTCTAGAGTCTGAAGGCCCACCCCTTCCCTGCCAGCTGACACCCCCAGATCAGTCAGGCACTCACAACCAATAACCTTTACCCCATGCCAGGAGCCCCCCAAAACTGGACAAGGCCCTTGGAAGCCAGCTTTTCCCTGGGGAGGAAAGAGGAACCCCCCAACATAGCCCACCTTCCCACATACACCAGCAGGACTCCCTTATGAGCCAGGCTTCTCCTTAAATAAGTCTCCCTCAAACAGCGCTGATGAACCCCCAAACCCGCCAGGCCCCCCGAACCATGGAATATCCTAAATTTTCCATATCCCTACAGGTACAAAGGGATCACTCCAGGGGGCACCTGTGGCCAAATCCTGCATTTTCTCAGATGTGAACCCCAAAACTAAATTAAGACCCCCAAATACATCTTACTTCTGATGCTGCCACTCCAGGGGCGCCAGTCCCAGATAAGGCCTACTAACCCCTCCCCACAAACTCATACCCTCCCCCCAGTTTATAGCCCCCCCATCATGCTTACCTTGGTTGTCACTATACAGAGACAGTCCATGTTGGGGGGCCTGGCCGCGGCGGCGGGTAAGGGGCTCTGACTTCATCGGAGTTTCGTTCCTCCCCTCCGTGGGTTCTCACCCCTCCCCCCTCCGCACCCCACTTTTGCAGGGGGGGCCAGGATGGGGGGAGGGGTGAGAGGGGAAGGAGGGGGTTGGAGAAGGGAAGGGGAGGGGAGCGTGGGAGGGAGGGGAAGGGGGCCCTAAAAGGGGCTCCCCAGTGGAGGGGAGGGGGCTTGGGGAGCACACCCCGATTCTCAGGAGGGGCGGGGGCACCGGGGGCTGGCAGCCCCGGAGTTCGGGGGCTGGGGCATGAGCTGGGGTGGGGGAGGGGAACTGGATTTCGGGGAGCCCCGGGGTAGGGGGGGGTCTTGCCAAACGGCCAGGGGCTAGGGGCCGTGGCGGGGGAGTGGGGTGGGGGGGTTGGAAACGGCAGCGGCCGAGGGAGCCGTGGAGCCGAAGAGGGAAGGGGAGAGAGGAGGAGAGAGGAAGCAGGGGGAGGGAGGGAGGGAGCTAGGAGCCAGAATGGGGGGGGTGCCTTGGCAGAGTTAACTCCTTCTGTGCTGGCAGGAACCCGGATAATGGGAAAGGAGATAGAAGCAGAAGCACAGAGGCCCCTGAGGCAAACATGGAGACCTGGCCAGCCACCAGCGATGACAGCAAAGACGATGAGGCTGGATTTCATTTCTTAGAGAAGGAAGCATCTATAGTTGGGCTGGGAGCACCCACGGTTATTTGAATACGGGAGGGAGGCCTCTCGGCAGGCGGTAGGGGGTCGGGTGTGAGGGAGGAGCTGAAGGAGGCAATCCCTGGGGGCCTAGTTCTCCCTCAGGTTTCTCAGGGGGAAACCTAAAAAGTTAAGCCCTAGACTCTTTAGTGCCTGAAACTGGGGCAGCCAAAGAAAACGAGGAAGAAAGGGAGAGTGGGTACAGGACCACAGAGAGTGCATTCTCGGTGCCCCAAGTCCCTGGGCCACTGACTCAGGCTTTTGTCAGCAGGGCCCCCAAGATTCCAGGTAATATTAGTGATATTTGGCTCACCCCTCCAGCCCTGCCTGCCCCTCAGGAAGTTAGGCGCTCGCCCCCACCTCCTTACCTGACTCTCTGAGAGGGAAGCCTCATAATAGTCCAGGATGTCTGTCACAGGAACAGAACTGAGTTACCTCCCCACCCCAGGCCTCTCCAGGCACATCACCCCTGTCATCACCGCTGCTGGCTGGCTGGCAAGGGAGGAGCCCTTTCAGCCAAGGCTGGTCCACACTCATGGAGGACACCATAGGCAGGACCCTGCATGGTGCTCCAGCTTGGACCAAATGATCTCTGGGCTCCCAAACAGCCCCCGAAGTTCAGTAATGGCCCTTGGAGGCCCAGGTCCCTCAGAAAACGGGCTACTCACCCAGCAAGGCCTGGAAGAGGTCGCTATGCAGCACTGTGAGGAGTGGGGGTGCCCACCGCAGCAGTGGGGGTGCCAGGAGCCAGAGGGCTGACCTGGGAGCTAGTGAGATGCAAGGAGAATTGGGACAGGGAAGATGCCAACACAGGAAGATGAACACACTGTCACTTCATCTCCCCAGACTGTGCCCTTCACCCCAGCCCCTACGGAAAGATTTGGGGAGAAGGATCTCCGAGCCCCAGCCCCCCACTTCGCTCCCAGACCTCCCCTCCACAAGGAGCCCTGTTTTTCACCTCTTGGTCTCTGGGACATCTCTCTCTTCTCTCACTTTAATCTCCCTAATCCTCCAGGATTGGAGTTGAGCTGCTTCTCCCCACTAAATTCCAGCTGTGAGTAAAGTAGGCCGTCTCTGAGCCGACCAGCTGTCCCATTCCCCCAGGTCCCAAGGCACCAGCACCGCCACCATCTTGCTCCACACACCCTGGCCCCCTCTTCCCATAGGCAGGCAGAACCTAGCCACGCTCTCCTGAGAAGCCAGCAAAGAGGGCCTCCTCACAGAGGGCTCCAGCAGCTCAAAAAGAAGCTGAGCCCAGCTCTCTCTCCTCCTGGGCCTCCTCTCACCCCAATGAGAATTGCAGAAAAAGGGGTAGAAATTGTTTGGGACTTCCTGCCCTAGGGCTAGAGAAGTTGGGGTTTTACGGGTAAGAGGCAGGAGAATTCCTGCAGTTCCTCTCAGGCCCGGGAGGAATCCATCTGCCTGGGCACATGGTCTCTGGAAGGAACAGAGGGCAAAGACAGAAGGGAATGTTCAGGAAGGTCTCAGAGGCTTTACTAAGGGAGGGGCAGTGAATCTGGGGGGGTCTTCCTACTGTGAAACTGTAGCTGTTCCAAGAGTTAGTGAATGGCCTACATCTCAGAAGAATACACTTAGGGTACTCACACCCTAGCTTGGGTGCCCCCCACCACTGTACCCTCCCTTTTGTGTTGGCCGAGATAGATTTCATCAGGAACCCTAGAGTCTGTCTTTCCATGTCTCTGCCTCTGCCATCTACCTTACACTTCTCTTTCCCTACTTTTCCCTTCTAACCCCACCGGAGAAGCCCTCCCTTCAGTCCACCTCCATCCCTCTGGCTGCAGTGACTTAAGCCCCTTCCTCTTCTGTCCCATCCTATCCCATCACCCCGTCGGAGGACTAGACTCTAGGTCGGACGGGCGGGATTAAGGAGTTTGGGGGAGACGAGGGACGCTTGGAGATCCCTCTAAGTCAGCGGAACGCAGGGCCGGGCTCCAGGGAACTACAGCTCCCAGCATGCCCCGGGGCCCGCAACCGTCCGCCGCCCGGTGCACTGTGGACGATGAGTCAGGGTTAGGGGCGCCAGGACGTGGGCGTGCAGGACGCCAGAGCTGGGTCAGAGCTCGAGCCAGCGGCGCCCGGAGAGATTCGGAGATGCAGGCGGCTCGGATGGCCGCGAGCTTGGGGCGGCAGCTGCTGAGGCTCGGGGGCGGAAGGTCTGTGTGTGACAAGAGGGACGGTGGGCAGCGGCCCTGGGCACCGGGCCGGCACTGAACCCCCACTCCCCACAGCTCGCGGCTCACGGCGCTCCTGGGGCAGCCCCGGCCCGGCCCTGCCCGGCGGCCCTATGCCGGGGGTGCCGCTCAGGTAAGTCACCGCAGCCTTGGCAAGGGGGTGTGGGAGCGGCGGTCCGCTTCGGCGCCCGCCATCGGCAGGGATCTCCCTCTTGGTGCCAGGTACCTGCCTACTGCTCAGTCGCCGAAAGTAGGGGAAAGGGCAAGCCAGGGTGCCCTAGGGCGAAACTAGGGGAAAGGTCACCGCTTCGCGCCGCCTCCCCGCGCGGCTCTCGCCTGTTCTCCCCTTGACACAGCGGAAGTCCCTTCCCTGAACTTGCTAACCGTCTCTTTTCCCAGCTGGCTCTGGACAAGTCAGATTCCCACCCCTCTGACGCTCTGACCAGGAAAAAACCGGCCAAGGCGGTAGGTAGCCCCGAGGCCAGGTGGACCTTAGCCAGACCCAACCAGAGCCCTGAAATTTGCCTCTCTCTGCCCAGGAATCTAAGTCCTTTGCTGTGGGAATGTTCAAAGGCCAGCTCACCACAGATCAGGTGTTCCCATACCCGTCCGGTAAGGGAAGGGATAATCAGAGCTGGGTGGGGCCAGGGTGGTTTCCCCTGCCAGCCTGGCCTGACCAGCCTGTCCCCCACCCTCTGCAGTGCTCAACGAAGAGCAGACACAGTTTCTTAAAGAGCTGGTGGAGCCTGTGTCCCGTTTCTTCGAGGTAAGGAATGACTCGGGGCTTGGTCCCTGGTGAGGTGTTTGGAGATGTTAAGCTCAAAAGGAGCCTGGATGTGGGATCCTGTGCCTTCCCCAGGAAGTGAACGATCCCGCCAAGAATGACGCTCTGGAGATGGTGGAGGAGACCACTTGGCAGGGCCTCAAGGAGCTGGGGGCCTTTGGTCTGCAAGTGCCCAGTGAGCTGGGTGGTGTGGGCCTTTGCAACACCCAGGTGAGGGCGCCCTATCGCCACATCCCAGTATGCCATACCCCAGCTTGGCAGACTCAGCTCTTTTGCCATAGACCTAGAGACTAGGGCTAAGGTCTCTTCTAAGCACCTGCCCTGGGTGCCTGTGGGATGGATGTTAACTGTCCAAACATAACACAATTTACATGCAGTCCCCTAGGCCTGAGCCATGGGCCTCACCCTGGTTCCCAAGTCCTTACAAATCTCTAAGTTGGGGATTGCCTAACAATAGACTGACTAGTAGCAAGTCACCCTCCTACCTAGACCTAAGACAGACCAGCATTCTCTGCTGTGCCCTTTGCACACCCCACTTCTTTTCTACACACTGGGGATGGCCCAGGTCAGGCACTGCCCTAGGTCAGGAACTGCCCTAGGTCAGGAACTGCCCTGTTGCCCACACTCTCCTGTTAAGGTCAGGTCCCCCTGCAGCCAGTGACAACCCCAGATTCCTGCTTCCCCTCCAGTACGCCCGTTTGGTGGAGATCGTGGGCATGCATGACCTTGGCGTGGGCATTACCCTGGGGGCCCATCAGAGCATCGGTTTCAAAGGCATCCTGCTCTTTGGCACAAAGGCCCAGAAAGAAAAATACCTCCCCAAGCTGGCATCTGGTGAGGCAACCCTAGGAGAGCCAGGGATTGGGGGGCACACTGGGCTTGGCACAGATTAGGCCAGTTGGCACTTAGATTATCAGATGGCTGAGCATTTCAGTTGGGGGAAGGTTTTGGGGAGGCATCACAGTGTGCTGGTTGGGACATGCAAAAGAACTGGATACTCCCAGGTGTTAAGGGGGAACTGCCTGCTGGAGGGATGGGGAAGTGGGCCGAGGGGACTTTGAAGCTCATCAGAACTTGGGGTAAAGTAGCTCTCTCCCCAACAGGGGAGACTGTGGCCGCTTTCTGTCTAACCGAGCCCTCAAGCGGGTCAGATGCAGCCTCCATCCGAACCTCTGCTGTGCCCAGCCCCTGTGGAAAATACTATACCCTCAATGGAAGCAAGCTTTGGATCAGGCAACCTGCCTCCCATTTCTCCCCTTCTCCTCCGCCCAATTCCAGGCCCCACTGCTCCCCGTCCTCCACGCCCTGAATATCCCATTCTTCCACAGTAATGGGGGCCTAGCAGACATCTTCACGGTCTTTGCCAAGACACCAGTTACAGATCCAGCCACAGGAGCCGTGAAGGAGAAGATCACAGCTTTTGTGGTGGAGAGGGGCTTCGGGGGCATTACCCAGTGAGTGAATTTGGGTTGGGGGAGCTTAGGACTGAGGGGCAGGACTGGGCTCCTGGGCAGATGGCTGTTGCAAGTCACCCTGGGGACGTGTGCAAAAGCCAAAGCAGGTGGACTGAATGTGGCCTTTGGGACTAATATGTATGCAACTGAGCTAAAGTTTTGGCTCCAGCAACCAAGTCCAACACAAAATAGGACATAGCCAGGCCTCCTTAGCCCTCAGGGCCTGAGGGGAAGTGGTGGCTGTAGCCTCTAATAGTCTAGTGGTCGTCATTCCTCCCTGGTGCATAAGGAGCGAAGGAGCAGTTTTTCCCCCAGTGACAACCTGTTGAACACACCTCTGCTTTCCCACACTGCCCTGACACAGTGGGCCCCCTGAGAAGAAGATGGGCATCAAGGCTTCAAACACAGCAGAGGTGTTCTTTGATGGAGTACGGGTGCCATCGGAGAACGTGCTGGGTGAGGTTGGGAGTGGCTTCAAGGTTGCCATGCACATCCTCAACAATGGAAGGTTTGGCATGGCTGCGGCCCTGGCAGGTACCATGAGAGGCATCATTGCTAAGGCGGTGAGTACCCTGCCCGAGTCCCTAGGTAACCCAAACAGAAGTCTCACTGTCCCCCTTGCCATGTGTCCCTGATCACTTGCAGGCACTCCCTACACTAGAAACTCCTCCCCTACCAGCAGCCCGACTTGCTAGCTTAGGTCTCCATCCAGCGTAGACTGAACTCTGGTTGTATGCAAAACCCATCCCTCTGGCGCAAGCCCAGCCCCTCTCCTAGGGAGACTGCAGAACCACACTGAACCACAGCGGGATGTGTGGACCCTCTTCCAGGTAGATCATGCCACTAATCGTACCCAGTTTGGGGAGAAAATTCACAACTTTGGGCTGATCCAGGAGAAGCTGGCACGGATGGTTATGCTGCAGTATGTAACTGAGGTGAGGGCCTCCCAAGCCCCTCTCCCTGGAGCCCTGGGGCTTTCTTCCCAGTCGGGTCAGACTACAACCCCCAGCAGCACCTGGGGCAGTGGGTCTCCAGCTTTACACCAATGCCCTAGGGGATGCGGGGAGGCATAGTCAGCTCAGCTTCTGCGAAGAGAGACAGCAATGATGTTCTGCTCAGGTGCCTGCCAGCAGTACCAGAAGTTAATTCTACCTCATCCCTTACATCCACCCCTTTTAAGAAAACAAATACCTGGAAGCACCTGATGAACTGACCCAGAACAAGTATCTGCCTGACCTGACAAGCTAGGTCAGCCCTTATCTTGGAGATCTGGGTGATGAGGCCAAGTCTGACAAAGCCCTTTGCAATTTTCCTTCCCATGTCCCAACTATGCAACCTCAGTCCATGGCTTACATGGTGAGTGCTAACATGGACCAGGGAGCCACGGACTTCCAGATAGAGGCCGCCATCAGCAAAATCTTTGGCTCGGTGAGGTCCCAGGCATGCTGGGAGGGAGTCCAGTTTGGGTGCTCAGCTCCCAAAACCAGTCTCATCTGTTCTTTGTCCCTAGGAGGCAGCCTGGAAGGTGACAGATGAATGCATCCAAATCATGGGGGGTATGGGCTTCATGAAGGTACAGGACGGTCTTCTGCAGAGCCTCGGCTGGGCCAGGGGTGGGTAGGCACATCTCAGCACGGGCATATAATTTGTGTGGCCCTGTGCTAGGAACCTGGAGTAGAGCGTGTGCTCCGAGATCTTCGCATCTTCCGGATCTTTGAGGGGACAAATGACATTCTTCGGCTGTTTGTGGCTCTGCAGGGCTGTATGGTAAGACAGAGAATTGGGTGGGGGTAGAGGTGGGGAGGACAGTGAGTCCTGACTGCTGGACCCTCTTCCCCCATAGGACAAAGGAAAGGAGCTCTCTGGGCTTGGCAGTGCTCTAAAGAATCCCTTTGGGAATGCTGGCCTCCTGCTAGGAGAGGCAGGCAAACAGCTGAGGCGGTAGGCTTAGGGCCAGAGCCAGGGGAGGGCAGGGTGGTGTATGGCAACTAACCAGTCATTCTCCCTCTTCCTCTCAGGCGGGCAGGGCTGGGCAGCGGCCTGAGTCTCAGCGGACTTGTCCACCCGGAGTTGAGTCGGAGTGGCGAGCTGGTAAGTGGCCAGGGGTCCAGGAGAGCCTGCATCAGGGACTGCAGCCGATGGCCCCTCTGAGCCCCGCACTGTCCCCATCTCTTAAGGCAGTACGGGCTCTGGAGCAGTTTGCCACTGTGGTGGAGGCCAAGCTGATAAAACACAAGAAGGGGATTGTCAGTAAGTGAGCTCTACACCATTCCGCCCCTCCCTTTCCTCTCCTTGAGACTAATGCCCCCACCCCCACCCCCACCCCACCTACCGGACAGATGAACAGTTTCTGCTGCAGCGGCTGGCAGACGGGGCCATCGACCTCTATGCCATGGTGGTGGTTCTCTCGAGGTGAGGAGGCAGGCAGGGAATGCCTGAGCCGCAGGGGGCCTGGGCCTGGATCCCAGCCGGCCCAGATTTATTTTCATCTCCTGCTTCCTGCCAGGGCCTCAAGATCCCTGAGTGAGGGCCACCCCACGGCCCAGCATGAGAAAATGCTCTGTGACACCTGGTGTATCGAGGTGAGACTCGGGGCTGCCAAGCTCAGGTGAGGGCTGGAGGTGCAGGCCCAACCCCTCCTTCCCTCTCCCCAGGCTGCAGCTCGGATCCGAGAGGGCATGGCCGCCCTGCAGTCTGACCCCTGGCAGCAAGAGCTCTACCGCAACTTCAAAAGCATCTCCAAGGCCTTGGTGGAGCGGGGTGGTGTGGTCACCAGCAACCCACTTGGCTTCTGAATACTCCCGGCCAGGGCCTGTCCCAGTTATGTGCCTTCCCTCAAGCCAAAGCCGAAGCCCCTTTCCTTAAGGCCCTGGTTTGTCCCGAAGGGGCCTAGTGTTCCCAGCACTGTGCCTGCTCTCAAGAGCACTTACTGCCTCGCAAATAATAAAAATTTCTAGCCAGTCATGCTTTGCTCCTGTGTGACGGTTCTTTCCCCCTGCTGCCTGCCTCCCTCCCAAAGAAAGGAGCCAGAGGCGTGGGGAGTTTGCCTCTATTGCTTTATTTGGTGTTTTATACAAGTGACTAAAATAAATAGAGTAACAAAGGCAGCTACATGGCCCAAATCTCCCAGCTTCCTCAGGCTGCTGTCTAGGATGCCTAACCCCGGGGTACCGCTGACCACCCCCAACCCTGCAAAGGGCAGGGCTGTGGGTAACTGGAGGAGGAGGTCACATTCTGGGGTTAGAAGGGGCCCAATGGATGGGAATTCTTCATATAAAAGAGGAAATGCCTATTAAAAAAGTCCCAAAAATGTAAGAAACTCTATTTTAACCCCCAAAAAGGCTTATAAAAAAACAAAGCTAAAAATAATCAAAGGTCCCTTGTCTACCCCTGAGGGAAGGGGGAGGAACCAGGCACTGCTGGTGAGAGTCACAGTGGCCACAATCTCCTGTATGGCAGCAGCTGGTAGGCTGAGCCCAGGCACTGTAAGAGCAAGCACATGACGGCCAGGACACCCAGTCACACACCAGGAGCGCCCGGCCCAGCCTGGCCCCACAGTGGGCTACATAACATCCACAAAGAACTCGCTGGGATTGCCCATGGCCATGTGGAAGCTTTGGCGGCTGGCTGTCAGTTCTGGGGGCACAGAGCCCAGGTCTCTGACTGGAGGGGCCCCCGGAGGCTGCACTGCTGGAGGGACTGGAGGTGGAGGTGGGGGCATCATGACCACCATCATGGGGTTGTAGGGGAGGGCCATGCCAGGGGGCGGTCCATAGGGATGGAGCCCTGGGTGGGCTCGGAGATTAGGGGCACCCCCAGTTGAGCCTCTGGATGGAGGAGGGCCCCCATCGCTAGTCCCACTTGCTTCCCCACCCCGCCGAAGGCTGCCCCCTCGGCTGGAGGGCTCAGACTCACTGCCACTGCCGGACTTGGACTCGGGGGCCCGCTCCTCGGGCCTCCCCGTGCGCCCTGCCCCCCCATCACTCCGTGTCGACCCACTGCTCCGGCTGCCTGTGGAGGGAGGGGAGGGGCAACTGAGTCCTCACCCAGGCTCCTCCCTGGCTCCCCTCTCATCCACCCTCAGATCCTGGCCGTACAGGTATGTGGGGATGACTTACCCTCACTATGCTGGCTGCTGGCACTGCCCCCACCATAGGTGTAAGATGAAAGCTCATGGTAGGGTGGAGGCTGCGGGCTGTAGGGGTGTGGGGCAGGGTATTGGTAGGAGAAAGTGGGCAGCAGGGGCCAGGGGGTGGCCCCAGGCAGAGGAGCCAGGGTATCCTGGTCTGAAGCCCCACTGGAGCCATCGTTGTCATTGAGAGACAGGTTGACTAGGTCTGGAAAGCAAGGGAAGAGAGGAAGAAATCACTGCTTCAAGAGGCTAGGGCCCCAAGACACCGAATGGAGAGGAACTGGGAACAGTTCTCCCAGACCCACCCACGATGGGGCTCAAAACAGGGGTTCACAAGGGTCTCTGACAAGAAACTCCCATCTACTTCTGCCATGAGGGCAGGGGCACAGCCACTAGCCCACGTCTTTGCGGGACTCAGGTAAGAGGTGCACCTTCCCCCGGTGGACACAGTCCTGCACCTGGCACATGGCTTGTCCAGCAGCACATGGGTGGACGTCAGCCCCCATCCTCGGCCAGTGCAGGACCTAGTGCGGGACACACACTGCTCGACCATCCATGGTGGCCCTGGCTGCGGTTTCTGGGCTAGGTCTAGGGTTGGAGAGGCAGAACAAGGTAGGCAAAGCCACACTCCCAGAGTTGGGGCAGGGGGACTTACAGCTCTCACAGCCACCACTGAGGTCTCCGAAGACGTAATAGCACTGCTCAGAGAAGGTGATCTTGTTGACGGTGTGTCGGATCAGGCCTGCTTTGAGCAGCCCGCTGGCATACTTGCGGGCCTCCCGCCGCTCAGGAAAGCCCTCCACGTGATGGTAGAGCCAGTCAACCACATCCGAGCCTGGGAGCACCCACAGTGGAAAAAGGCCTCAGGTTCTTCTTCCAACTCCTGCTCTCGCCTCTGCCTGTGCCATTCCTGGCTTTGGTCACCACCTCCTCCCCTTCTCCAGCCACCTGCCCAGGACCCAGCCATACCCAGAAAGGCATTAGGGATGGTGATCTTGAGCCACATGCGGTCCCGGACTTCCAGTCCAGACTCTGGAGCTGCCATGGCCTTGGTCACCGATGCCATGTCCGTATGGACGGAGAGACCCCGGCCTTCACAGCCTGGCAGAGGAGACAACGGGTAACCAGAGTCAGGGATCGCTCCCACAAGGGCAATGGATCAGACCACTGCGGGACAGCCTTCTGCTGGGAGGGTGGGATGAGGTGGGCTGGCGGCTCACCATCAGGCAAAGACGATCCAGATGTAATGGTGCTCATGGAGGAGGAACCTGGATAGGCTGGGAAGGTGCCAGTCAGAGCCGCGGAATGGGACACCCAGGCAGCAGGGTCAATTGGCTGGATGGGCTCATCTGGGACAAAGATGGCACCAAAATGACCCATTCTCAGTCCCCAAAAGCCAGCCCAGTCCCTCCCTGACTCAGCCTCCTGTTCCACCTCTGCCTGGACCCTCCTCCCACCCATTCCCCATGACCACAGGCCCGGCCCCAGCCTCCTGGGCAGCCCCCACCCCCAACTTCAGGCCCCTCCCTGAGTGTCACTCACTTCGGGGGAGAGTGAAATAGGCCTGAGGAGAGGGATCCCAGCACTTGGCCACAGTCAGCACAATGGGGCTATGGGGAAGAGAAGTCCAGTCAAGGGCGCAGGGGAAGAGGAGGCCTCAGGAGGGCGGGGGTCTGAAGCAAGGATGGATTAAGAGACACAAAGAGGGGGAGAAGCAAGCACATCGCGGCTGGGCTAGAGAAGGTGAGGGTGGAAGGCACCACAATGTGGATGACTCATCAACATGGAAAACTCTTAAAAACATACTGCCAAGTGAGACAAGAGAGTACACGCTGTACAGTTCCATTCACAGAAAGTCCAAAAACAGGTAAAACGAAACTGCAGTGTTCAAGGATACGTGCAAGGGTGGTAACTATCCAGTGAGGCAAAGCTTTTCTTTGTTATGGTGATGGCCAAAGAAGTCAGGAGAGTGACTACCCCTGGGGCAGTGAGGCATTTGGGAGCAGGAAGGGACATCTGAGGAGGAAGTTCTAGGGTATCAGCAATCTCCTATTTGATGATCTAGATGGCAGTGACATGGATATTTACTCTAGTATTATTTGCTATGTCATGCATTTGTTTCATGTACTTTGAACGTTATGTCTTAGCACTTTTTTTTTTTTTTGAGACGGAGTCTTGCTCTGTCGCCCAGGCTGGAGTGCAGTGGCGTGATCTCGTTTCACTGCAACCTCCACCCCCCAGGGTTCAAGTGATTCTCCTGTCTCAGCCACCTCACTAGCTGGGACTACAGGCATGTGCCACCATGCCCACTTAATTTTTCTATTTTTAGTAGAGACACGGTTTCACCACATTGGTCAGGCTGGTCTCGAACTCCTCACCTCAGGTGATCCACCCATCTGGGCCTCCCAAAGTGCTGGGTTTACAGGCTCGAGCCACCACGCCCGGCTGTCTTAGTACTTATTAAAATTCCAAAACAAAACATGAAAGAGAAAAAAAAAGAGGACTGAGGACCGGCAACCTGCTTGGCAACTCACCCAGGCTTGTGCACAATGTCCCTCAGCACCCGCACAGCGTCATCGTTGCTCATGTTCTCAAAGTTCATGTCATTCACCTGGAAGCGACGGCAAGTGGGTCAGAGACACGGTGGGAGAGGCTGAGGGCCCCCGTGCAGGGCAGCTCAGTGGCCCTACCCCAGCACACCTGCAAAAGCATGTCCCCTGGCTCAATGCGCCCGTCGGCCGCCACAGCCCCACCCTTCATGATGGAGCCAATGTAGATGCCTCCGTCTCCCCGCTCATTGCTCTGGCCAACAATGGAGATACCCAGGAAGTTGTACTTCTCTGTGGAGAGAGGCCATGTGAAAAGAGGAGCCCCTGCCACAGGACGCCCGGAACCCTAGAGACCAGGCCCTCCCCACGCCCTAGCCACAGGCTCTCCCCATACCCATGTTTAGCGTGACTGTGATGATATTGAGAGACATTGTGGAATCTGTGACGCTGCTGAAGGATGACGTCTGTGGTGGGAAAAGGAGCCAGAGTGCCCTTCAATAACCCAGGGTCAACCCTGGGGTGCTGCCGGTGTCCTGGCACCGCCCAAACCAAAGCCCATGCCCCACCTTCTCCCAGCACCAGCCTTCCTGTAGGAACCCCTCACCCTCTCCAGGCGGGGTGGCCTCTGCTTCCTTCGCCGCCGGTGGCGCTTAAGGAGGCGGGAGGCACTGCTCTGCTCCGTGGAGCTGCTGAACCTACCAGGAGGTTGGGAAGGAGAGCAAACGTAGGCCAAAGTGGTCATGGGGCCAAGAGAAAGAACAAGAGGATTGACTGGAAGACGAGACGGGGCTGGGTGCGCTGGGGAGAGCTGTGCGGAGCCACACCTGCTCATGGTGTCCTCCTCGTCCGAGTCCCCCAGGCTGGTACTCTCCAGCTCGCTGGTCATGAGGGTAGAGGAGCTCTCGTATCCGGCCAGGTGGCGCTCCAGCCTTGAGGGGCCACCAGTCCTGTGGCCCCCAGCTACATATGGACAGGAAGCTCAAGAACCAAGCTTCCCCCTGCTCACCCCACCAAGGCTGGGGTCTGGCCCAGCCCTTCCCGGCCCCCAGGCCTGCCCCTCACCGCCATGCTCACTGCTGTCTCTCCTGCGAGGCCGCTCCCGCCTCAGTGACACTACTGACTCGGTTTCTGTCTCAGGCTCCAGATTCTCATGGCTGCTGGACACATTAGGGCTGGACAGGCAGAGATGGTTTCCAACCCACATCAGGAGAACAGGGCTCCGGATCCTAGGCGTCCCCTACCAAAGGCCTGGGTTCCCTCCTCACCTCCCTCCCCTGCAGTCAAGAATCTGAAGGACTCACTGGAAGGATGGAGGCCTTGAGTCCCCAATGCCGCTGGTCCTCTCGGGTGGCAAAGGAGGTAAAGGTGGGGCTGGAGGCGCCAGTTCTGCCCGAGGCTCATGGACTGGAGGGGCCATCTCGGGTTGGGGATTATCTGAGGACACCAGCTAGAAGGGTGCAAATGATAAACAGTGGCTCACTTGGGAGTCAGGGTGTGACAGGTGGCAGTAAGTGAAAGAATGAGAAAGGGTCTCAGAGAGCTGGAGAAGAGCAAAAAAACCTAGCAAGTATTAGAGACTCCAGAAGGAGAAGGCTGAGGGCCTCTCGCCGGCTCTCCAAACAGACAGGAGGTAAAGAGCCAGGGCTGCTAACGCGCGGCCTGGGGAGGATACAGAAACAGACTGAGGCTTGAGGGAGCTTGGCAATGCTGAGGGGGCCTGGTCCTCGGTGTCAGAACCTCTTACCCAGGATACCACCCTTCCGTTGAAGCAGGGGAGGCGGGCGTTGTCATCTGAAATTTCTTCCTTCACCACCCTGCCAAGCGACAAGGTAGAGGTCAGTGAGCTGGACCAACCATCCCCACCCCGACCCCCATCAAACTTTCTCCCAATCTTCACCTGGCTCCAGGATGTTGACTTTCTCCTGCCCTGTTCAGGTCTTCTCTTACATTGAAAGAACTCACTCCGACACCTAAGAAATCTCCAAACTCAATCCCCTTTCCTTATTTCTCCTCTCCCTAACGCACCCTCAGGGGCACAGTGCTGCTCCAAAGACTTCCTTGAGTCTGACTCAAACCTCTTAGTCCAGTTTCAAAAGCAATCCCGCACGCTGATGCGGCTGCCTGAGATACCTATCTAATGAGACTGGCTGGTGGCCTCCTCTCAACCCCACCCCTGTTCCTTACAAACCTTCCAAAAAGGTCAGGCACGGTGGCTCACACCTGTAATCCCAGCACTTTGGGAGGCTGAGGCGGGCGGATCACCTGAGGTCAGGAGTTCAAGACCAGCCTGGCCAGCATGGTGAAACCCCATCTCTACTAAAATACAAAAATTAGCCGGGCATGATGGTGGGTGTCTATAATCCCAGCTACTCAGGAGGCTGAGATGGGAGAGTCGCTTGAACCCGGGAGACAGTGGTTGCAGTAAGTCGAGATCGCGCCACTGCATTCCAGCCTGGGCGGCTCAAAAAAAAAAAAAAAAAAAACCTTCCAAAAAAGGCTTTGGTCCTCATCAAAGCCTCTACTCTTATACTTTCCTTTAGTTTTCTCTAATTCATTTCTAGAAGACTGTCCTTTCTTGAGTAAAAACACCCATTAGAGGCCAGGCGTAGTGACTCACACCTGTAATCCCAGCACTTTGAGAGGCCAAAGTGGGCAGATTACCTGAGGTCAGGAGTTCAAGACCAGCCTGGCCAACATGGTGAAACCCTTTCTCTACTAAAAATATAAAAATTAGCCAGGCATGGTGGTGCACACCTATAATCCCAGCTACTCCGGAGGCCAAAGCAGGAGAATCGCTTGAACCCAGTAGGCGAAGGTTGCAGTGAGCTGAGATTGCGCCGCTGCACTCCAGCCTGGGCAGAGTGAGACTCCACCTCAGAAAAAAAAAAAAAAAAAAAAACCACCCATTGGATCAAACAAACAATGGAAGTTCCTCATTAGACTGAAAGCTCCCAAGGAGAGGGCAAGCTGGGGTTCCCATTCCCCTGTGCCTCACTGGGCACAAAATTCTGCACAAAGCAATCTGCTCAACCTGACAGATCCCAAAGCCCAGCCTTGGGGTCATCTCTCCAATGGGTTCCCTGTGGTGGACCGGACTTGCCCCTTCTTCTTGACCATGACATCAAACCATGAACACTTACTCTGGTCAACACCATGTCCTAGCCACACACCACACACTGACACTTAAGCATTAACAAATACTGTCGACTAAATGAATAAACGTATAAAGCATCAGACTCTCTACCCTAGTTGTTCCTCTCTCTCTTTCCACACACAACCTTAGCCCCAAATTAGGACACCTTGTCTAATTAACCCGTTAGCCTAATATGGTCATGGGAGCCAGGATATATATCAACATAATCCATTTGCTGTCAACGTGACAACACAGCCCAGTCACTACTAACCCGTCTCAGCATAATGTAGGATTCTTCCCAACATAACACAATCTCAGCACAGCTTGGTCCACTCTGAGGCAAATTATTCTGTATCACCATAACCTACTTTACAGAGTGGTCAGCCTCAATGCTAATTACAATTACCATTCACCAAGAATTTCCCGTGTGCCACACACGTGAACTAACCATTTCATTCTGTGATTTTCTCCATGTCACAGATGAGATCAAGACACAAAATTTAAATAAATTGTCCAAGATTACATTGCTGACAACTAGAAAAACCTTGCCTTAAAGCCAAGATAACTCCCAAGATAGTATCAGCATCCCCATGTCAAACAATCTTTCTAGCTAGAGTCCAGTTTGTTCAGTTCTTCTAAAACCCATGCTATCCCAACTTAATCCAGCCTGCCTTCAAAAAAGCAGAGGTTGGGCCGGGCGCGGTGGCTCACGCCTGTAATCCCAGCACTTTGGGAGGCTGAGGCGGGCGAATCACGAGGTCAGAAGTCAGAGACCAGTCTGGCTAAAACGGTGAAACCCCGTCTCTACTAAAAAATACAAAAAATTAGCCGGGTGTGGTGGCGGACGCCTGTAGTCCCAGCTACTTGGGAGGCTGAGGCAGGAGAATGGCGTGGACCCGGGAGGCAGAGCTTGCAGTGAGCTGAGAATGCGCCACTGCACTCCAGCCTGGGCGACAGAGCGAGACTGTCTCAAAAAAAAAAAAAAAAAAAAGCAGAGGTTGAGGACCCAGAAGGCTCAGCCCCAAAGACCATAAACACAAAAGGGCTTTCTCTGCATTATTTACACGCCAATCTAGTCCAAGATAGCCCTGAATGTCCCAAATTACCCTAGGATAGCCCAATCTATTCTAGCACAGCCTACAATGCCCCCACACGCAGCTGTCTGCACCAGTCTAGATTGGAACATCCCAATACGGCTGCCTGTGCTAGCACAGGCCCCAACAGCCTTGTCTGCCCCTATACCGAGTGCTCCAATAAAACCAAGTCTTGCCCCAAGAGAAACCAGGATTAACCAATACAACCCAGTAGAGTCCATAATGGCCCAAGTGTTTTTTGTTTTTTTTCTGAGACGGAGTCTCGCACTGTCGCCCAGGCTGGAGTGCAGTGGCGCGATCTCGGCTCACTGCAACCTCCGCCTCCCAGGTTCAAGAGATTCTCCCTGCTTCAGCCACCCAAGTAGCTGGGACTACAGGCGCGTGCCCCCACGCCCGGCTAATTTTTTGTATTTTTAGTTAGTAGAGATGGGGTTTCACCGTGTTAGCCAGGATGGCCTCGATCTCCTGACCTCGTGATCCGCCCGCCTCAGCCTCCCAAAGTGCTGGGATTACAGGCGTTACAGGACTCCTGAGAACGTACTAAACAACCAGACAATGGATCAATTTACTCAGTACAGACTAGAATACTCCAACATAAACCAGTATGCCCCCACCTATTCCAGTAAAGCCTAATCTTGTCTAATCTGGTTTAGGATATCCTAGTCTGTCCGTGTGCCTCAATCTATCCAAGCATAACCTTGTCCATCCTGGGATAGTCAACCTACCTCAGCATAGTACAATCTGCTCCACCATAGGCCAGAAAATCCCAGTGTGGCCCAAAGTAGACGTGTGCCCCTCCATGTCGCCCAATCCACTCTAGCAAAGCCCCCGCCGGTCCTATCTAGGCCTTGCGCTCACCCGAAATCCTGATCCATAGACTTGAAAAAGTACTTGGCGCCCGCGGGCCGCTGCAGGACGCTCTTGAAATCGCCGAGGGTGATGCGCTCGGCGGGGACAGGGATCTTCACCAGGTAGGGAGTCTCTTCCTCATCCAGGTGGTAAATCACCTTCGTCTCCCCAACCCCACCGCCCCCAGTGCTGCTACCCGCCATGGTCTCGCCCGCGCGCTCCCGGGCTCCACCGCCCACCCAAAGGGCTAATGGCCCCTGCCGCGCCTGCGCACACCCGCAAACCGACGCGCGAGCGCGGACAGGACTGACCCAGTACGGGAGAGAAGCAAAGGGGAAAAAGCACGGATCTGCGAGGGTGGCGGCGGGGGGCGGGCCGCGGGGTGCGACTCAAAGCCCCGGTCTCAGCGGCCGCCGCGCGCCACCGCCACCGACGCCGCGAGCTTCCTCCAGGTACCCGCCCACCTCTCCTCATGTCACGTGACTTAAAGGCAGCCACCCCGCGCTCCTCAGCCGCCCTCCGTCACGTGATCCCCTCCCAATCACGTGACCGTCTGACTCCGCCTAGTGCCCCCGCCACATGATCGCTGCCTTCAGCAACGGTCTCCCAGCCCCCAAACGTGTACCCCAGCCGAGGTCCTCTGAGCACCCAGGCTAAGCTGGCCTGTGCCTTCAGGAAACGGACCATCGGCTCCCACCCCGCTTTACCCCACCCACGATGGAGCACGAAGCAACTCTGACCCGCAGGAGTGTGCGTGCAGGGAGTGAAGGTGGGGACTGTGGGGGTTCCTAGACTCGAGTGGGGAGGGCCAAATACAATGAAAGCTCTAAGGTGGCTTACTTGTCTTGGGGTGGGAAAGGCCCAGTGCTGTGATATCTTCAGATTGGACTTTGAGACGTGGGTTTCAGCCCCACCTCCAGCTAGTCTTCAGCCACCAAAGCCTCCCTCCCGAGCAGGACAGTGAGGGCTATAAACACAAAAGAGCCCACTCTGCTTTATTTACAACACGCAGGCTGTCTGTACAAACAGCGGCCGATATTATTAAAAACAAAAGAGGTGAGTGAGAATCGTCACCTTTCTGCTTTCCTTCCTCACTTGGCCAGGCTCTAGTACTCCACCTTTGAGCTGCCATGCCCAATAGGGGAAGTCCAAAATTAAAAATACAACCGGTGTAGAAGAAAATAAATGGGGAGTGAAATAGAAGAAAAGATGAGGGAGGGGAGTGCTAATATTTACACTAGAGTTTTATAGACAACTGTCCCATTCCATCCCAATTCCAATCCTGACCCAGAAAGTGATGGTGGCAGGTCCAAGAGACAGAGATTATGTGTCGGGACACAGACAGCCTCCCATCCCCAACCGTAATGGATTCAATTTCAAGTCCACAGAGTGGGGAGGAAGGATAGGGTGGGAAAGTGAGACACTCATTTTCAAACAAGTCTCCCTTGAGAATTCCTGCCTTGAAGTGCAGACAGTATCCAAGCTCCAGGGGATAGGCTGAGGACCCTGAGGCTCAGTTCCCAAATCATGTTGTCATTTGGAAGTTCCAGGCTAAAGTTGGTGCCATCAGGGCTCTCCAGATTTGGGAGGCCCCCCTAACCGCCGGGCCTCTGGCCTCAGTTCCTTGCATTTCTGGCAATAAAAGAAGTCGGGGACGTTGGTCTTCTTAATCTTAGCACAGGAGAGGTGGATCCACGTCCCACACAGGCTGCACTCAATCATGGGCCGCCCTGCAAAGGGCTTTCGACAGTAACATGTGATCAGATCCCATGAGTCATCACCTGGGGAAAAAAAGGTTTGTTTGGTATTCTGCCTGAGCTGTTGGATCCACAACACCCTCAAACCCCTCGCCCCAGCCCGAACCTCTCACCTGATTCTACCATGATGTCCTCGTCCATGACCCGCATCTCGCCTTCACTGGAGCTGGCATCTCCATCTTGGCTTGTTTCAGTGCTGCCCACCTCCTTGCTTTCACTGTCAGCAGGAGGGACTCCTTCAGGGTGCACTGTGGCAGGGGGCCTAGGAGCCTCAGGGGGTGTTGGCAGCACAGGGACTGGGGCTTCACCCCCTACCACTGTTGCCATCTCTTCTTCTTCTTCCTCTTCCTCCTCTTCCTCCTCCTCTTCAGAGTCTGTATCACTGGGGGGTGCCTGGGGAGGCCCAGGAGGTGGGAGTCTATCCCCCCGTTCTGCCTTTTTTAACTTCCGCTTCTTGCTCTTCTTGATTCGAGATCTCTTTTCCCCATCCCCAGGAGTTGGCCGAGGCCTCCGAAGCACCCCAAAGCCAGCCCCAGCTCCTGGCCCCAACTTTCGGTTCTTTCGGTCCTTCTTTCGAGGAGGATGGGAGAGGTCCCCCTGGGAAAGGGGCACGGGGGTAAGAGCAGCAGGGGGCCGGGAGGTATGTGTCAGGGATGTGGGGGACAAAGGAGATGCCACTTTGGGCCCATCCAGATCAAAGAGAGAGTCCTTGAGCTTCATCTTCTCAAGCAAGGTAGCACTGTCGGGGGCCTGCAGACGAGAGAAAGTGGACCTTGGGGGTCCTGGCTGGGTGGGACCTGCTTGAGCTGCCCTTCTCTTGGATGACTTTGCTTTCTTAACAAAAGTCTGGATGGTTCGAAGATCTGAGGGGGCCGAGTCCCAGCCATCACTGTCGGCCGCACTCTCTCCTCGCAATGGAGAGCTGGAGCCAGAGGCTGGCCAGTCACTTTCCTTAAAAGGGGGAAGAGACCAGGGTCAGCAGAACCCCAGTGTCATCTCAGCCCCTCCACAAACCCAGCTTGAAAAGGAGTGACTGGATTTACCCCAAAATGTCCTACCTCAACCACTAAATCCCACTGTACTCCAAAAACTTCTCCCCACCCCAATTCCCATCAGCATGTCCTCTTGACCAGTCCGTGTTACCTCTACCCTCAAGTCTGACACCTCACCGCTGCCCCTGCCCAGGGCCTGTGGAACACTGTATCACCCAGACCGGAGCCGTTATGTCCTTAGCTCTTTTTCTGTATAGCCTCATTTGTTACCATTTTCATCTCCCTAAAATTTATCCATAAACACCTTCCATTCACAGCACCTCAAGACTATGCCAAAATCTCAACCAGCGACTCCAAATCCCCCTTCCTTTTCACTGCTGTTCAAGCTAGCTATCCCGGCCATCCACTCCCCGCATACCAGCTTTCCTACCACAGCCCTAAGAGTCTCCAACTTCCCTGGTCTTACATATAATTTCTAAGGGCCTCCTTCTATAAAGCAATACAGTTCTGTTTGAACAACAGTCACTCTATAGTCCCACCACACCAGCCTCAAGTCAGTAATTCTCTTGCCCCTACCTCTTTGCTAGGGGGAATGTAACCAGCATATGCCAAAACAAAACTGCAGAATTTGTTGAAATCCTCAATTGTTCTCCGCCGTTTCTCTGGTGGCTGAAAGGAAGGAGATATGGATCACATGCAAAGCCACACAGTTTAAGAATGGCATTCCCAGAAACACAGTCCCTAAGTGAGGTCTAGAAAAGGGGGGCGGGGGGCGTTGTCAGGCAGGGCTACTAGGCTGCAAAGGTAAGGCAAACCTCACCTGAGTCTCTGGCTTAAGGGTCGGAGGTGGATCTGGAAAAGCAATAAAAGCTGAGTCAAGACACTAGGAACAATCTGTGTAAAACTCCCCCTCTAAACCCCGTTGTTCCTAAGTGAACCCCCTGCTCTCCCAGGTCCCTCTGCCAGGCCAGCAGGCCCCCAGCTGTGTTGGATCCGCCCCGGCTCCCCCTTCCGCCCCGCGAGGGGCGGAGCCTGGGCGCGGCGCCCTCTGAGGCCTCGCTATAGCGCTCCCCTTCCCCCAACCGGAGGCCCGGCGCCCCGCCCCCCCAACTCACGGTCTCTCTCGACTCCAGTCTACTCGGATCCCTCAGCGCCCCACCCCACCGTACCGCTCCCGGGGCCGCGTCCGGGCCGCCGCCAGCCGCCCCCGTCCTTCACACGCGCCCGGAGCCCCGAGTTCCTACCCGGCCGCGCTCCACCGCCTCGGGCCCTCCGAGACCGCACACGCCGCCCGCCAGCCCCCAGGGTCCAGGATGACCACGCCGAACCGCTCCCCGCCCTCCGGCCCCTTCTACTCGAGCACGCGGCCCGGCGCGCCCCTCACCCCCACCCCAGACACACACAGGCACACGCATCCAACGCTACTTCACGGCCGGGACAGACCCGGGAGCTCTAACCCGGACGCGGCCCCCACCTGCCCCCCCCCCCCCGCCCATACCGCGCTCCCCACAATTTCGCCGTCCCTCCGCCCCCATCCGGGGCTTTGGCCCCTCCCCGTCTCCAGCTTTTCGGGCTCCCCACCGGGCCCCCCGGCCCTGTTCCTAGCCCTCTCCGGCCGCCGCCCCCCCCTCCGCCCCCGTACTCACCACCCAGTTACTAGGCTATGGACCCCTCAACTCTGGCCCCTTCCCCCCAACCAGCCACTCTCTCTCTCTCTCCACAGCAGCCACCGCTGCTGCCGCCGATGCCCCCCTCACCCTCAGCAACTCCCAGGCTCTTAACCCTCGCGGACCAACCCTACCCCCCCGCCCGACAAGTCGCCGGTCTTAACCCCCCCCACCCCGCCCCACCACCCCCTACAACTACCCAGCTCGCCTCGCTTCCTGGCTCGCTCTCTCCACAACTACCCCCCGGTACAGGTCCGTCTGCCGTAGACAATACCCAGACCCCCTCTTCTCCCCACAACTACCTGCCCACCTCTCCGACAATCACCGGGCATTCTCCGGCGGCAACTACTCGGAGCTCCGGTACCACCGCCACAAACTACCCCACCTCGGCGAACTACCGGGCCCCTCACTCAGCCTCTTCTACGTCCTCCCTCCTGAGCAACTCTCCGGCCACTGGATTCCCCTAACCTTCCAGTTCCAGGGCCCCAATCTGCCGGTGGCCCTTTCGGGCCCTAACCCCCGAGGCTCCGGGTTTCAAGCTCCTATCCCCCGCACCCCCACACCGTCTGATCTCCAACTACCCCAGCCCAGTTTCCCACTCCTCTTTCTCCAAGGTCTCTCAACTCGTCGCTCTCCCACCTCCAGGGCCAGCCTCCCGACCCCCTCCCCGAACTCCCCCGCTGGGCTCCGGGGCTCGACCTCCAAGTTTGCCAATTGATTCCTCGCCCGCCCCCCGCCGGCTCAGCGCTCTGCACCGGTCGAGAGCTCACCTTCGGGACTGGGCTCCGCCATGGCTTCCAGCATCGCCCCCTCCCCTCCTCCCGGTCCGGCGCCCCCCTCCCCGGAGCCGGGGATCCCGGTGCCGCCTCTAGTGCTCGATGCTCCCACTGCTTCGCTCCACAGAAGTGTCCGCCTCAGCCCGGTTGAGACTCGAGTCCGCTAGCCGCTGCCGCCACCTCCCTCTACCACTGCCTCCCGCACTCCCGGACCGGGCCCCCTCCCCCCGCGCCGCCGGCCGCCTGCTCCCTCCTCCTCCTCCTCCACCTCCTCTCTCCTCCCTCCCTCCTCTTCTCTCCCTCCTCCCCCCGCCGGCGCCGAGGCGCAGTGCACCAAGGGTTTTGTAGTCCGTCCGGGAACAGCGGAAAAGGGACCGCATGAACCTCCGGAACTTTGATTCCCAGAAAGCCACAGGCTGGCGCAGGCGCACCAAGCCGCTCCCCTCCCCCGGGGAGCGGCGGGGAGACCAGGAGCCGGAGGGGAGAGCGGAAGTGCGCGCGCAGGCCCCTGGGAGATGTAGGCTGGGCGGGACCAAGAAAGAAGAGGAAGAAGGGATTAGAACTCTCGGCCACCATACTGCCTCGTTCTGCAGCTTCTTTCTCCCCAGGAGGACCGCCCCACTTCCGGCCTGCCGGAGAAATGATTGCTGGGAGTTGAAGTATTCCTGGCGATAATGGCTCCCGCTCCCAGTCTTCTCCCTCCCTGATTCCACTCTGCCGGATCCCACACACCGGCAAAAGTCTAGCCAAGTGACATGCAACTGAGAACAGCCGTTTTACTAGCTTGCACACATGAAAATATCTTAGTTAGAATGTTCTAGCAAATGTGGATGTTCACCTAAAGCAGGTACTTCGGAACTTTCTCCACAGGAACCCACAGTAAAAAAAAATTTTTTTTTACATGAGCATTTTTAACATTTAGTTTCACATGCGTGTTATAAAACTAAAGTTTCAAGAAATAATCCTCAGTATTCCATTCCATCACAACAAAAGCACCCTCTTTTTGCAGACAGGGAAAAGCCCAACATGAACAGAATAAACCAAAATATACTTCTATCCCTCCAGCTTGTACCCAGTACTCTTCTTTCCCCACCACTGAAACCCACTGACACCTTGGAAAGACTTAAAATCAGCGGGACGAGGGGAGCAACACAAGGCAAAATTCAGTTCAGCTTGGTGGTTTCCTCTTTATTGATGTGCCTCCTACCTTCCCCCCACAATTTCAGTCCCTTCCAACTACCCCCAAAAAAGAAGGTAGTGAAAGGAAGGGATTGCTGGGGTTCTGAGCCCCTTGGGCAGTCAGAAAGGGAACAGAAACCAAAACAATCACTGGATGTGACACAGACTGACAATCAAGAAGTCTACAGCAGGATGGGAAAGGCGGGCAGAGAAAGGGGAAGAAAGGAGAAAGGAGAGTTACAAGATGCCAACTCCACCATTACCCCTCCTAAGAGAGGCTGGAGAGAAAGCCACAAACATTAAGAAGTGCCGGTCCTGAATAAGGGAGGTGGTGTTTGAGCTTGAAGGAGGAGGAGGTCAAGAAAGGGGGGCCACCTCTCTCTTTGTAGAATGAGACCCCCCTCCAGCTCAGGGGCAGCAGCTTCACAGACCGTAGACACTTTCGTCACTGTAGGCAATGTAGAGAAAGAAGTCTTCTTCATGGTGTTCCTGGGATGAAAGCAGAAAACTGTTCAGCAACTGGGCTCCAGTAACTTAAACCAACCACGACCCAGACACGTTCTTCTAGAACCACAAACCATTGCCTGACTCCTTCACTGACTCCAAGGCCTACCACACGAGCAGTATAATCTCTGCAGTCCTGGGCAAAAAGGCCTCAAACTGTTTTCTGCTGCTTTGGAATGGGGAGGGGGACTGGGAAGAGTCCCGAACAGATAGTTTCTCTAGCTCACTGTTCTCTTTCCTTCTCTCTACTCCTACTGTTCTGTCCAAACCCCCAACCCACGGCTATTATGAAACTTTAAGGCAAGCCAGGAAGCTAGTCCAAAACTACTGATGTAACAACACTTTCTTCCCCTCACGCTCTTCCAAGATTCCTCTCCAAAGCCTCCACCACTTCCCAGTCACCATACCTGGTACAGCTGACCCATTGTGGCACTGGTGGGTGGAATGACATTGTTGACAAAGAAAAACAAGGCATCCTCAGCTCGGAGATGAATTCGCTTCCGGATCAAGAAGTAGAACTGACCAACTGCAAAAGATACAAGATGCAAGAAAGTCACAGAGGTCAAAAATGCCCTCAAAAGAACAGCTGCTAGGTGGAGCCTCCTCCCGCAGAGACTGCACTCCCACCCACAGGAAGCAAGCCTGAGTCTTGGATCAGGTTCCCACCTGTGAGATCAGAAGGCACCAGGTATTTCTTTTTGTCCAGGTCTCCTATCCGAGCTTTGGGAGCCTTTTCTACTATCACCTGATAAAGAGATGAAAATTAGGAGACAGAAGGAATGCAGCCCCGAAGCTGCACCTGTCAAGAACTCAAGAAACAATATTCCTAGCACCTAAATCTACCCCAGATTCATCTCTTTGTCTTTGTACACGCGGTGCAGCACTGAGTCCCAGAGATCCTGACCTCACTGACTGGAGCTCATTTAAATATCCAGGATCCATCCCCCAATAGGGCGTCACCATAAACAACTATCTTAATCAGACGGAGGTGACTTGTTTGGGTCGACTAGTGATTCAATCTCGCAACCTTAGCTAGCTGGGGGGATGACCATTTGAAGCTCAGGCTGTCAAACTCTCTAAGGCCTCAAATGCTAAGGTTTCTCTCTCCTGTCCACATCCCTCTCAACCCCACATCCACCACTACCCCACTCCTTTCATCCTGGGTCCCAAGGACAGCAGTTTCAGGCTCGCTGCCAACCCCACCACAGCCAGCAGCCTGATCCCTGCGCTGCCTGTCCCGATCCAAGGCCAGGCTGTGGCGTCAGCGTAAGCGTCCCGCGCCCTCGGCCCTGGCTACTGTCCTCACCGGCACCCGGTCCGGGTATTTCTTTCGGATCTTCTCGCCCTCAGAGCGGCGCTTCTCGAACGGATGCTCTTCTTTGTACACGAACTTCATCCTCCCGGGAACCGGGCTGGACAGGGCTGGGCTGAGGGAACCCAGGGGGGCCGGGACGGGGGGCGGCGACGACGGCGGCGACGCGCGGGCGGATTCAGCGGAGCGATCCACGAATTTGCGCCACTTCCCTATTCACCAACCCCGCCCCCGACTATCGGGGACTGCCCCCCCCGCTAAGATACGCCACTACCTCAGCGGCGCTAACGCTGCTAGCGTAGCACCACCAACTGACCGGCCCCCTCACGCCATTAGCGTAATCGCTTTGGAATCAATTTGTGGGCTACGCAGGCGACGTAGCAAAGACGGTTGGCTTTTGCTCATCGAAAATTACTCTAAACCTATTCCCCAACCGTCCCCTCAAGGAAGCTGGGGCTGAAGAGGAGTAAAAGATGGTAATCATCATACGAGACTTGGTTCTCCAAGTTCCTTTCGTTAACAACGTAGAGGAACAGCAGGGACAATTACAAGGTTAGCTATTCACGAACCGTGTTGCTACGCTGAAGGCGGCCGTTGACACCAAAACAAAGTAGTACCCAAGTGGCGGAGATGATCTCCAGAAATAAGAAGTCAAAAAGAAAACAGATGTTTGGAGAGATCTACAGAACGCTTAAGTGCCAAAATGAGTAGACCAATAGGGACTGGAGAGGAGGTTGGAAAGGTAGGGACTACGCCAGCGCGGAGGAACACTGCGGGACTTGAGTTAAATCATGTGATCTCAAAGAGGGCGGAGCGTCACGTGGCGGGTGCGCGAAGTAGGGCCGGCTTGGGAGGGCGCCGGGGAGGCGGGGCCGGCTGGGCGACAGCTGGGAGGGGGACCGACGCCTTCCCGGACAGCGGAGGTCGGGGCGCCAGCCACCTGGGGGCAGCGCCCGCTTAACCTGTCCACGTCAGTGCCCCGGACGAAGCCCGGTTTCTCCAGCTCTACGCCCTTTGGCCGTCCAGGTTTCTCCTTTCGTGCTTCCATAGCCGGTTTCTCCTTTCGTGCTTCCATAGCCTGCTTCTCCGAAGGTGTCCTTCCACTCCCCACCAGCGCGCCCATCCTGTCACTCGGCCCTTCCCGCCAAAGCATCTGGTGTCAGCATTATTGTATCCCAGGCATCTGGTGTCCGCATTATTCTATCCCTATACTCAACGCCACCTTTCCCCCTGCCCCTTGAGTCCAACAGCAGTCTCTTCCCCCTCTGCCTGTGGGACAGGGTGCATGTGAACAAAGTCCCCTCTCTTCACTTCCCAAAACCCCAGAGAAGGACCTAAGGCCGCTTTGGTTTCAAAGTTATAATGCATGGTTTAAAAGAGAGAAAAGGAAAAAAGACACAAAGCTGGTTACAGGTCTGAGGGAGTCTAAGGAGAGAAAAATAGAGGGAGAGTAAAGGGGGGACAAATTTAGGGAAAATCCAGTGGCCCAAAATCCCAGTATCCCACCCACAGCCCAGCCCTTGGAGCAGGAGTGAAGAATTAGATCAGTTTTGTACAAGAGTTTTTTAAAAAAAATCAAATCACAACAAAGCTGACTTGGCTTCTCTTTGAGCCTCCTGGATCACCGTATGTCTGTCACTCTGGCCAGTCCTGCCTCTTCACAAACACTGATTCGGCTCTCCTAGGCTTCCGCCTGTGTCCCAGTCTGGGGTTTCCATGGAGTGTGAACACGAAGTTAAGAGTGAGGCTGCTTCAGAGCCCCTGGCCCATGTGTCCATCCAGACTCCAAGTGGAGTGTAGGGCTCCCAGGGCAGAGAGGGGTGGGAGGGGCAGACCCTGCCCAGGCAGTCCTCACATTGGACAGGGCATCAGACGGCATCCCAAGGGCTCGCCCTCCCTTTCCCCCCCACCCCAACTCAGGTGGAGGGGGAGCAGCTGTCACCAGAGCCGATGTTGGTGAAGGTTTCGGCTCAGCACGGAACGAACATCAGCGGTGAACCTGGGGTGACAATAACTTGCATTGGTAGAGTACCTTATAGTTCATACCCTCACAACACTCTTGTAAGGCAGCATCACTGGAGATGTGGGACCTAAATTATCACCATATTCATGATTAGATAGGTTCAATTTGCCCACAGCCTACTAGCTAAAGTGATGAGCTTTGAAGTAAGACGACCTGGGTCCAAATGTTAAATTCTTAAGGGAACAGAGTTAAAACAGGACAAACCTTTTTTATTCCCTCTGAGGATCCCCCACCTCCTCCTTTCTTGAGATATCCAAGTGTCCAGAGCCCACTTCCCTTACCTGAGGGCATCCAGCATTGGGAGCAGGTTGAGAAGGGCTGTGTCGCTGGGGTCACTGAACCAGGATTTGATGGGGATGGCATTGTCTAGGGTGGGTGAAAATGCAGATGAGAAGAAACAGAATTCAAGAGAGACGGTGTTTTTCTCTTCTTGGAGGGAAGGAGGAATTATTGTTAAAAATATATGCCTCCCACTACCGGAAGTCAACAACCTAAGTAAAACTTTCCTGGTTTATGCTCCGAAACTAAGTTTTAATCACCAGATCTCATACCTATTGATGCTTCTAGTCAAGCTTACTGCCATTGTGCCTCACTTGAAACACACTTGGCCAGGCGCAGTGGCTCACACCTGTTATCCCAACACTTTGAGAGGCCGAGGTGGGAGGATCACTTGAGCTCAGGAGTTTGAGTCCAGCCTGGGCAACATAATGAGATCCCTTCTCTACTAAAAATCAAAAAATTGGCCAAGGGCAGTGGCTTACGCCTGTAATCCCAGCACTTTGGGAGGCCAAAGCGGACGAATCACGAGGTCAGGAATTCAAGACCAGCCTGGCCAACGTGGTGAAACTCCGTCGCTACTAAAAATACAAAAAATTAGCTGCGCGTGGTGGCAGGTGCCTGTGATCCCAGCTACTTGGGAGGCTGAGGCAGGAGAATTGCTTGAACCTGGAAGTCGGAGGTTGCAGTAAGCCGAGATCACGCCACTGCATTCCAGCCTGGGTGACAGTGCGAGACTCTGTCTCAAAAAAAAATAAAAAATAAAAAAATTAGCTGGGCATGGTGGTGCACGCCTGTAGTCCCAACTACTGAGAGGCTGAGGCAGAAGGATCACTTGAGCCTGGGAGATCGAGGCTGCAGTGAGCTATGATCATGACACTGCACTCCAGCCTGGGAACAGAGTGAGACCCTATCTCAAAAAATAAATAAAAATAAATTTTATTTTTATTTATTTATTATTTATTTTTTTTGAGACGGCGTCTCGCTCTGTCACCCAGGCTGGAGTGCAATGGTGCAATCTCGGCTCACTGCAACCTCCGCCTCCCGGGTTCAAGCGATTCTCCTGCCTCAGCCTCCCGAGTTGCTGGGATTACAGGCGTGCGCCACCACGCCTGGCTAGTTTTTTCTATTTTTAGTAGAGATGGGGTTTCACCATGTTTGTTAGGCTGGTCTCGAACTTCTGACCTCGTGATCCGCCTGCCTCGGCCTCCCAAAGTGCTGGGATTACAAGCATAATCCACCGTGCCCAGCCAAAAATAAATTTTAAAAATGAAAAAAATGATATAAGAAATCCGACTTATGAAATGGACATATATGGTATCTCATTTGAAACACAAAAATAACTTGCATTTCGACTTACAGCAAACTAGGGATAATCTAGGGAATCCCAGCTCTCAAGGACCAAAGCCCAGGTCTCCTGCAAAAATACCTTCTCAGAACCATGTTCTGGTCCTGCCAGACTCACCACCTTCCCCCGTACCTGGATGGCTCCTGTAAGCCCCTGGGGAGTTATCCAGGATCACAATGCTGGAGAGGTCACTGTGGACCACAGAGAGGTCCTTGATGTAGCTGCCCAACTCCAAAGTGCAGTGCTGGAAGGCAGGGGATCATGTAGCAGGCCTCTCTCCAGGATACTCTCCTCAAACCCAGATCCCTCCCTGGTGGCCTCCCTCCCAAGCCACACTCTTAGACTGGGATTCTAGCTTACCTGTCTGTAATATCTCCTCTTAAGAATGCTTCTGCTATTGTCCAGTTTATCTGCCACAGCAGAGCCATAGATCTCCATGCTTGCTGTAAACACCACCAGCTCGTACCACTGGCTCACCTGAAATAGATTGGGGGAGAGGGCGATGCCATACAAGGTGATGATTCCTTTAGACATACAGTTATCTTTCAGAAAGGCAATGGCATAGTCCTTCAGGCCTTCCATCAACATCAAATGTCTCTGAGGACACGAAATTCTGAACCCCCAGCCCAAACCTCCAAACTCAGTGTTAGGCATCCTACACTCTTATGATTCAGAAATGCAAGAACAAAAGAGAAAGATGCCAGCGGAAAAGAATTACATCAGCACAACAAATGAACCCCAAGTACTGAAAGCCACTCCCCTACCATTACACAGCCTCCCCTCTAGAAAACTGCTCTAACCCGTTTCTCCTCACCCCTTCCTCCAAATCCTCCCAATTCCCAGAGCCCTAAAACCATTCCTTCATTACAGAGCTCCCTTTAGCTCTCCAAAACTCACCACTTCCAGGAAGAAATCCACATGGGGCCTCTTATGTACAAAAAACCGGACAGGATGTTTGTCTATTACCACCTACAGAGGAACAAGATGGGCTGGGGGATGTCATGACCACCACAACCCAGGCCTAGAAAACGCCCCACCCATCTGCTTCCCTCCTCCAGGCTGACACTGGTGCCAGCGGATGGAGACAGATGCTCTGGGACTGGGAAAGGGAGTCCAGGTTTGGGCAGAGGAACAGATGGAACCATTTCATCACTCCCCACCACCACACACCTTGAGGATGAAGTCAGGAGGCGTACCAGGCCGGACTGTGGGCCTCAGGACCCCATCATGGTGGGAGTGAATAAGTGTCTCATCCAGATCCAGCACCAGGATCTTCCTCTTCACCTGGGCTGAACCAGAGTGGGGAGGAATAATATTGACCGACCTCTGACCCAGAGCTAGCCCCTACTTCACCCTAAAGGAGGCTTCCCACCACATACTTACCTAGCCGATTCCGGGACACAGGAGATAAGGGGAGGATATCATATCGAACAGTTTGGTACTGAATTACCTACAAATAGCACAAAAGAGGATTGAAACCCTTGATAAGGAAGCCTTCCCCAGTAACAGTAACAGGGAGCACATAATGAACATTTACCACAGGTACTATGTATGTAATTTAGGCTTATTTCTTCTTCTTTTTTTTTTTTTTTTGAGATGGAGTCTCGCTCTGTTGCCCAGGCTGGAGTGCAGCGGCATGATCTCGGCTCACTGCAACCTCCGCCTCCCAGGTTCAAGCAATTCTCCTGCCTCAGCCTCCCTAATAGCTGGGACTACAGGCGTGCACCACCACGCTCGGCTCATTTTTGTATTTCTAGTAGAGGCGGGGTTTAACTATATTGGCCTGGCTGGTCTCAAACTCCTGACCTTGTGATCCTCCTGCCTTTGCCTCCCAAAGTGCTGGGATTACAGGAATGAGCCACTACGCTGGCCTTTTTCATTTAATCCTCAAAACAACCATAATATTACTGTTATACCTGTTTTAAGGTTAAAGAAACTGAGGCCACACAGCTAGGAATTATCTTAAGTTGTTTCTCTCCCTAATTAAAATGAAAACTCCATGAGAATATGATTTTGTCTAGATCATGGCTGTATTCCCAGTGCCTAGAACACAGTAGCAAAAGTGGTCAGTTGATATTAGTAGAATCAGCCAGGCGCAGTGGCTCATGCCTGTAATCCCAGCACTTTGGGAGGCCAAGGCAGGCGGATCACAAGGTCAAGAGACGGAGACCATCCTGGCCAACATGGTGAAACCCCGTCTCTACTAAAAATATAAAAATTAGCTGGGCGTGGTGGTGCGTGCCCATAGCCCCAGCTACTCGGGAGGCTGAGGCAGCAGAGTGGCTTGAACCCAGGAGGCAGAGGTTGCAGTGAGCCGAGATCGCACCACTGTACTCCAGCCTGGTGACAGAGCAAGACTCCGTCGCAAAAAAAAAAAAAAAAAAAAAAAAAAAAGTAGAATCAATGAAGTGATAGAGCCAGGATTGTACCAATGCAGTTCAACCCAAGAACGTGCCCTCTTTTTTTTTCTTTTTTTTTTTTTTGAGAAGGGAGTCTCACTCCATTGCCCAGGCTGGAGTGCAGTGGCGCGATCTCAGCTCACTGCAACCTCCACCTCCCAGGTTCAAGCAATTCTCCTGCCTCAGCCTCCTAAGCAGCTGGGACTATAGGCGCGCGAACCACGCCCAGCTAATTTTTGTATTTTTAGTAGAGACGGGGTTTCACCATATTGGCCAGGCTGGTCTTGAGCTCCTGACCTCATGATCCACCTGCCTCAGCTTCCCAAAGTGCTGGGATTACAGGCAAGAGCCACCACCCCCGGCCGAAGCTGCCCTCTTAACTGTGATATTATCCTGCTACACTGAACAAAGAAACGACCCCCACAACGCAACCTTCACCCCAAGAATTATTTGTAGCAACTACCATCATTGGGAACTAAGTGCCTCAGATTCCCTAGTGCACATGGAGTAGGAGTCGGGAGGAGATCCCTGGGTCCTTAATGGGAATATAGAATGAGGGAATCCAGAGGTTGTCAGGTCAGCTAAGTTCCTCTGGCTAGAAGCCACCAGGCCTATTTTAACCAGCCACCTGTCCACTTCTGTCCCTTCTAGCCAAGTCACAAGTTCAGAGAACCTCAGCCCTCTGAACAGTCTCCTTATCCTGGTACCCAGGGTGAGGCAAAGAACACTGGAAAGCCCCTGCCAGGCTGACTGGCAGGGTCTGGAGGAGGCCAGAGTGAAGTCAGGGCCGTTAAGTGAGAGGTGAATAAGGGACAAGGACGTCACCACCTCATCCAGCTCTGCTTCTCCAAGCATTCTCTAGGGGCTATTTCCTAATACGCACATCTCCCCATACAAAGCCTGGCAATTCCCTCTTCCACACTTTTCTTCAAAGGTACAAACCCTCTTCAGTGCATACCTAGGCCCCAAGCCACACCAGAACCAGGTTCTCCCTTCTAAACCCACAGGGCTCTCTCCCCCTAATCAAGATCTGCCCTTCTTTTCTCCCTGGGCCATGATGAGGTCCGAAAGAGCTCCAGTGTCCAGCCTTGCTATCTCGGGTTGCATATGCTGGGCATGTAGGGAATGCTCCAAGCATCTGCCAGAAGCGGGGTGGGGAAAGAAACCAGATTGGAAGGGAAGGGAGGACAAAAGGCTATGGGGTCAGTGCTGCCCAAAGGAGAGCAATTTTGGAAGTAACCTGTGGATGAGCTGAAGCACCACTCCGTATGCCCAGAAAACTGATGTGTTGGAGCGAGAACGTCAGAGAAGATGGCAGTCAACCCATAAAGAAAACCGCTGGAGGCCGGGTGCAGTGGCTCAATCCCAGTACTTTTGTGAGGCCAAGGCGGGCAGATCACTTGAGGTCAGGAGTTTGAGACCATCCTGGCCAACATGGTGAAAACCCGTTTCTACTAAAATTACAAAAATTAGCCAGGTGTGGTGGCAGGTGCCTGTAATCCCAGCTATTCGAGAGGCTGAAGCAGGAGAATCGCTTGAACCCAGGAAGTGGAGGTTGCAGTGAGCGGAGATGGCACCACTGCACTCCAGCCTGGGCGACAAAGCGAGACTGTCTCAGAAAAGAAAAGAAAACCCCAGGAGATAGCCCCACACATATCCCAGCATCTCTGACCCTAAATTTTTCTTGGCTCCTAGCTCTTGTCTCGGGGGAATAGCGCTGCTGCCTACAGCCACAACCATCCTGTACTGTTCGCGCCCTAAATCAGGAAGTGGAAGCAGACTGGTAAAGGACAGAATGAACCCAAGGCCAGACCCATTCTCCCAAATCAGTTAAATCAACCACCACTACCACTGAGGGCTTTCTGGAAATTCTCTGGACCCCAGGTCACCCCAACCTGGGTTTATTCTTTCAAATTGTATTGAGGTATGCTAAGGGGTACAGACCACAGTACAGACCCAGAACCTGTGTCTCCGCTTACTAAATTCTCCCCAGACTCCTTCCGAGGATTCTCCCTGGTGGTGGTGAGACCACAAGAGCACATTCATTTAAAGTGCTGTTAGCTGAAGGACCTCTGACCTTGGAGAAAAGCTAAGGGAGAGGGGACCCAGAGATGCTTGGGTCCATCCGGACAGTTTCCCTCAGAATGCTAGGCTCTCCTGGAGAAGCAAACGTCCTCATTTTCAAGCCCTACAACTGCCCAGCGCTGTCCTCTGACAGGGACACCCAAACTTCAATGGTGGGCACAGCACCCACCTTGAACTCCCTCCCACAATTAAAGAGGCCCATCGTAAAAGCATCTGCTTTAGTCTTCAATAAATCCAGATACCTACACTCACACTATGAAATAAATTTTCACAGCCTTTTTGGAGGAATTCTCTTAATGGGAACCGCAGGCGTTTCTCCTTCACACCCAGGGCTTTCCCAAGTTCCCGTCCTTGTTTGTAACGTATGCCCTCCCACCCACCTCCACCCTTGACACACAAGTCTGTCTCTTCCTTGTTATAGGACCAAACACACACCGAGGTTCCAAATAGGGTCTTTCCCAAGCCCACATCCACAGATCCGGCTGTCATCAAACAGGTGTTCCCCGCCTCTTGGTTTCTTTAGCAACAACTCCAGCTTTCTTAAAGAGCGCCCCACCCACCACCTTAGCCCCCAAGAGTTGCCAAATCCTGTCCCATCTAGCCCCATCAAAACCCCCAAGGGCAAGGTTCTATTACAAGGGTCTCCCACCTCGCCCCGCTTAGGGTGCCCAATTCTCTGGCGAGAAAAGCCCCAGCCAGGATTCCCTTCCTAGGCCCAAACAGAGGCCCGACACTCCGAAAACCCCTGAGCACCACGGACAGATGTCCCCAACACCGCCAGACGTCCCCAACACCGCCAGCGCCCACCCTGGCTCACCGTGCGGATCTGCCTCCGCAGAAGGTAAATGAAGAAGCTCCAGAGCTTGGCGGCGAAGGCCACGAACGTGCGCAGCCCCAGCAGACACTGCGTCCGCATCATCCCGATGACCCCGGCACCGCCGGCCCCGGGGCCCCCGCGGCCCAGCTCCGCCAGCCCCCCGGGGGCAGCCCCCCGCCGCCGGGAGGGGGAACGGGGGCCCCGAGTGGCAGGAGAGGCTGCAGAGAGGGGCACGGAGCGGGCGGCTCAGAAAGCCACCCCTGGCGAGGGTAAAGCCCAGCGGAACGGGGAGCTGGGGGACAGGCGTGGGCAGCCCGCGGGGGCCCACATGGGCTGGGAGTGGCACCGACGGCTTCGGGGAGGTTGCGGGCCGAGACAGGTAGGGCTAGGATGGGGTCCTCCGAGACCTGGAGGGAAGGGGAAGGATAATTGGGGGAGGGGGCAGTGGGGGAGGGGGCTAGGGAAAAGGGAGGAAGGGAAAAGGGAAGGGGAGGGGGGGAAAGCAGAGAGTGGCCCGCTGCGCAGGCGCGCTAGGGGGCTGCTCGCAGGAACGGGGAGGGCGGGGGCAGCGGCGCGCAAAGGGCCGCGGCAGCGGAGAACGGGCCTGCAGAGCGAAGGAGCAGGGAAGGAGGGGGAGGGGGAGCCGGAGGGCGCAGAGCGCTGGGCCGGAGCGGCCTCCCCCTCCCCGAGCTCGGGGGTCCTTTAGCCGCTGGGGACCGGGGCTGCAGCCTCTGCAGCTGGGTTTCCCACTCTGACAGGCGCCATTTTACCGTCCAAAGGACTCCCTCTTCCTGTCTTTCCCCCTCCTCTTCCCCTTTGACACTACTTCCGGTGGTGACGTGTATTCGCTTCACCGGGACTAAGTTCCTCCTGCGCGGTCTATGGCGGGTAGGTATAAGGAAAGCCAAAAGCACTCCAAGCGAGGCTGCAGTATTGCGCACGCGCAGAAGGTGGCCGCGGGGCGGGGCCTGAGGCGAAGCAGGCCCCGCCTCAAACTGCGTGGGCGGGGAGAGTGACGTCACTTGGCCCGCGCTTAGGGCCCTCGCGGGGGGCTTGTGGGTCCTCCTCCCCCTCCCACTGACAACTGCCCCAACTGCTCTTCCCGCCCCGGTCACAGTGAAAATGTAGACGGGGTCGTTGTCCGTACGACTGTGCGCCAGGGCTCGGGGAGGGGCGCCCTCCGCGTGAGCGCCCCCCTGGGAATATTGAACATAATCACCTCTCATTCCAGACTATGTTAGGTCTTAATGGTGGGAGGACGCCCGAGTGCTCGGCCCGTTTCACCCCGAGGAGGAAGGACACTGGGTCATGACGCCATCAGAGGGCGCCAGAGCAGGGACCGGACGCGAGTTGGAGATGTTGGACTCGCTGTTGGCCTTGGGCGGCCTGGTGCTGCTTCGGGGTGAGAGCCAGAGGCACGGTGGCGGGGCGGGGGGTGCGGTTCGGGCCTGGCTGAGGGGACGGAAGTGGGCAGGAAGGGCCAGGGGTCACAGGCTAGGTGTGGAAATCGCGACGGGTTCGCGAAGGCGGTAATCCCAGCGCTCTCATACCCTTTATCCGTCCCTCGCTCTGCAGATTCCGTGGAGTGGGAGGGGCGCAGTCTCTTGAAGGCGCTTGTCAAGAAATCTGCACTGTGGTGAGTATCCCACAGTGTCTCCCCGGCCTACCCTGGATAGGGCACCTGTGCCCACTCTTTGACAATCCCTTCTCATCTCTGCCTTAGTGGGGAGCAAGTGCATATCCTGGGCTGTGAAGTGAGCGAGGAAGAGTTTCGTGAAGGTTTTGACTCTGATATCAACAATCGGTAAGTACCAGTTGGAAGAGATTTGATTAAATTTGAGACCTATAATGCTAAGGAAATTTCTTTACAACAAGCGCAGAACCTGGTATGTAGTAGCAGTTCCTTAAATATTCATTGAAGAATTGGATATGGATCTTTCAGGAGGCAAGAATTAATAAGAGGAGTGATGAGTATTTGGGGAGTCCAAAGCAAAGATCATAGAAGTCGAGAGAGAAATAGCCTGGAAATAGGGAGAACATGTGGGAAGGGTATTGCAGTAATCCGTTAATCCGGCTTCACTCTTTAAGGTACATATGTACCGAGCACCAACTATCAACCAGGTGCTGTGCAAGATACTGGAGACGGCAGTGAGTGAGACCTGTTCCTGACCTAATGAATTTTAGGGAATAATGGTAGGAAGTGATAGAGGCCTGGTTTAAGGCAGTGGCAGTAGAGATGGAAAGTTTAGAACACATGTAAAGGACTTTAGTGGGTAGAATTTCCAGGATTTATTGACTAATATGGGGGAGAAGAAAGTATTGAGATAAGGAAGTTCCTAAACCCAGCGGCATGCCTGATCAGGAGACATTAAGAACCATTAGTAGGATGCTTTCTACTTCCTAGTCCCGGCAACTCAGTGGATGATAATAGTAGTTTACATCTTATCTGTTGAGCCTCCAATTTTGCATCAGCCATTGTTGTGATAGAGGCGGTGGTGTATGTTCAGATGGCATTCCATGGCTGGGCGCGGTGGCTCACGCCTGTAATCCCAGCACTTTGGGAGGCTGAGGCGGGTGGATCACCTGAGGTCTGGAGTTCGAGACCAGCCTGACCAACATGGAGAAACCCCATCTCTACTAAAAATACAAAAAATTACCTGGGCATGGTGGCACATGCCTGTAATTCCAGCTACTCAGGAGGCTGAGGCAGGAGAATCGCTTGAACCCAGGAGGCAGAGGTTGCAGTGAGCGGAGATCACGCCATTGCACTCCAGCCTGGGCAACGAGCGAAACTCTGTCTCAAAAAAAAAAAAAAAAGCGGGCACTCCACAAGAGAAGATAGAAAAGAGATATCTGGGAAAAAAAGTTCTGCTACCTATGCCAGTCTCCCTTTCCTGAGCTGTTTTTTCTGTAGTTGTTACTTCTTGACTTAATTCTTGACTTTCTTTAAGCTGTTCTACAGGCAGGACCAAATCTCACGTCCTCTGCTTTCTCTTTTTTCACCCAGGGTGATAATCTTTAGGTGCCACACACAGGAAATATTTGATAATGGTGATAACTAACATTTATCAGGCATATACTATGTGTCAAGCACTGTGCTGAATGCTTAGAGGTTGGCATCTCATTTCACCAATGAGGCAACTCTTAGAAATAATGTATCAGTTAGCTGACCTTGGGCAAGTAGCAAAGCCAAGCTTGGAGATCAGGCTGTCAGACACCAAAGTCTGTGCTCTCAATCACTGTATGCTCTCTCTCAGTAATTATCTTTCACTAATATTTAGGATATTCATAAAAATTGAGAAAACAGCCATAAAGATCAGAGGATGAACTTTGTGATCCTCTCGGGGGAAGGGGCAATATTATATTGTGTCTTATTTTCCCTTTGCAGGCTGGTTTACCATGACTTCTTCAGAGACCCTCTCAACTGGTCAAAAACTGAGGAGGCCTTTCCTGGGGGGCCGCTGGGAGCCTTGAGAGCCATGTGCAAGAGGACAGATCCTGTTCCTGTCACCATTGCTCTCGATTCACTCAGCTGGCTGCTACTTCGCCTTCCCTGCACCACACTCTGCCAGGTCCTGCATGCTGTGAGCCATCAGGACTCTTGTCCTGGTGAGACCCCTCCTTCATTGTTTCCCCTCATACATCTCCCTCTGCCAAGGAGTGTGCCCCTTTTCCTTTCTACCCTAGAATAAACATCTGGGTTCTCCAGTCAGACCTTTTTTCATTTTTTTGACTTTTTTGTCTGTTTTTTTTTTTTTTTACTTCTCCTTAATGCCATCTACCATTTGCTTTTTTTTCTCCAAGTTATTTTTTTACTCATTTGTTTCACTCATTCATTCATTTAACAAATCAATAGTAAATATATACAATGTGTCAGGTACAATTCTAGATAATGGCAAAATACAGACTGACTGTAGCTGGGTCCTTGCCTTCCAGGAGCTCGAAGTCCCATAAAAGATGGAGATAAGTAAACAGGCAGTTACAAGATGGTCTGATAAAGGCCATGATGATACAGGCATGCACAGGGCACCTTAAAGAAGGGCACTCTTGGCCGGGCGCGGTGGCTCACTCCTGTAATCCTAGCACTTTGGGAGGCCGAGGTGGGTAGATCACAAGGTCAGGAGATCGAGACCATCCTGGCTAACATGGTGAAACCCCGTCTCTACTAAAAATACAAAAAAAAATTAGCCGGGCTTGGTGGCGGGCACCTCTAGTCCCAGCTACCCGGGAGGCTGAGGCAGGAGAATGGCGTGAACCCGGGAGGTGGAGCTTGCAGTGAGCTGAGATGGGCCACTGCACTCCAGCCTGGGCGACAGAGCAAGACTCCATCTCAAAAAAAAAAAAAGGCACTCTCTTGAAGAGCAAGAGGTCATCCAGGCAAATTTGGCCGGGCAGGGGCACTGAGACTAGCCTTGAAGTGCACTGTGGGTACTCGAATGGACTTAGGAGTCAGACGCCCAGCTTTGTATTAAGGTGCTTGATCTCTCATTGCTTCACTTTCCCCTGTATATGGGGGAAGGTACAAGGGAAGTATTAGGATGAACCACTATATTGCCATTTCTTAGGTTAAAAGTTGTTAAATATTGTCTGGGCGCAGTGGCTCATGCCTGTAATCCCAGCACTTGGGGAGGCCAAGGCGGGCGGATCACCTGGAGTTGGAGACCAGCCTGGCCAACATGGTGAAACCCTGTCTCTACTAAAAATACAAAAAATTAGCTGGGTGTGGTGGTGCACGCCTGTAATCCCAGCTACTCGGGAGGCTGAGGCAGGAGAATCACTTGAACCCAGGAGGCAGAGGTTGCAGTGAGCTGAGATCACGCCACCGTACTGCAGCCTGGGTGACAGAGAAAGACGTCATCTCAAAAAAATAAAAACAGTCCGGGCGCAGAGGCTCATGCCTGTAATCCCAGCATTTTGGGAGGCCAAGACAGGTAGATCACGAGGTCAGGAGTTCAAGACCAGCCTGGCCAAGATGCTGAAACCCCGTCTCTACCAAATACAAAAATTAGCCAGGCGTGGTGGCACGCGCCTGTAGTCCCAGCTACTCAGGAGACTGAGGCAGTATTGTTGAGCCCGTAGCAGGGGTTGCAGTAAGCCAAGATTGCGCCACTGCACTCTAGCCTGGGCGACAGAGCAAGACTCCATCTCGAAAAAGAAAAGAAAAAAAAATTGTTAAATGTCAGTGATTTCATACAGTTTGACCTAAAAACGCTGACCTTTGTAAGGATTCAAACATTGTGTTAAAGCGTTTAGCATAGTACCTGACACTCTCTAAATGCTCCCAAAAAGGGAGGCAGAGAATTGAAGGCACTGACTGAGATCTTGGGAAGTTCCAGAAACTACAAGTACTTCCGTGTGTAAGAGATGAGGCTGGAAAGTAAGTGGACACCACCTGCTGGAAGCGTTCGTTCCATCCTGAAGGCAGGAGCTGCTGAAGAATAGAAGTTAGAGCGGTGCCTTGATCAGCTTTACATTGGGATGATAGAGGAGATTAAGGTGTGGGCTGGAGGAGGCTCAGAGCACGGTAGTGAGATTGGCCAAGGGACGTCAGGATTTTGGCAGCACTGTGATGGAATTGTGAGGCTCTCTCTTCTTCACTGTTAGCTCCCAGGCCACCAACCTGAATGCTCCCTACTATCCTACATTTCTTGTCCTCCTCTAGGTGACAGCTCCTCAGTGGGGAAAGTGAGTGTGCTGGGCTTGCTACATGAAGAGCTTCATGGACCAGGCCCTGTGGGAGCTCTCAGCAGCCTTGCTCAGACTGAGGTGACCCTGGGCGGTACCATGGGCCAGGCCTCGGCCCACATCCTGTGTCGGAGGCCCCGACAGCGCCCAACTGACCAGGTCAGAAGAACCAACAGAGAAGGACTGGAAACGGGGGACAGAGAAAGGGGTGGCACGATGGGAAGAACAATGAAAATGCTGATGTTTCAAGGAGACTTTAAAAACAAACTTTTTTAGAGATGGGGTTTCACTGTGTTGGTCAGGGTGGTCTCAAACTTCTGGGCTCAAGTGATCCTTCCACCTCAGCCTCCCAAAGTGCTAGGATTACAGACGTGAGCCACTGTGCCCAGCCCTCAGTGAGACCTTTTTTTAAAAAAAGCTGATTTAGGTATTTCTCTGTTTTCTATCACTCACTTCATTTAATCCTCTCAGCTATGGTTAAGGTAGATTGTTTTATTATCACCATTTTTCAGGCTGGAAAGCCAGTCCAGGGAGGGTTTTATTCCCTTGGAGTTTTTTTTTTTTTTTTTATTGGACAAGGTCTCACTGTTGCCCAGGCTGGAGTGCTGTGGTGCAATCATAACTTACGGCAGCTTTGACCTCCCATGTTCAAGTGATCCTCCTGCCTCAGCCTCTGGTGTAGCTGGAGGTGGGAGCACAGGCATGTAGCACCACATCCAGCCAGCTTTTTAGTTTTTTATACAGATGAGATCTCACCCTGTTGCCCAGGCTGGTCTTGAATAACTAGGCTCAAGCCATCCTCTGGCCTTGGTCTCCCAAAGTGCTGGGATTACAGGTGTGATCCACTGCACCCGGCCCAAGGAGGTTTAAATTTAAGTCACTTACCAAGGTTATAAAGTGTAAGTGGGGCCCAGGCGAGGTGGCTCAGGCCCATAATCCCAGCACTTTGGGGGGCCGAGGTGGGCAGATTGTGAGGTCAGGAGTTCGAGACCGGCCTGGCTAACATGGTGAAATCTCATCTCTACTAAAAATACAAAAATTAGCTGGGCATAGTGGTGGGTGCCTGTAGTCCCAGCTATTCGGGAGGCTGAGGTGGGAGAATCACTTGAACCTGGGAGGCGGAGGTTGAGGTGAGCCGAGATCATGCCACTACACTCCAGCCTGGGCAACAGAGTGAGACTCCGTCTCAAAAAAGGAGTAAGTGGGCTGCTCTGCCTAAGGAGTCGCCATCCTTTTATTCCTTTACTTCCTTAATCAACTTGCTTTCACTTTTGAAAATAAAATAGAGGCTGGGCGCAGTGGCTTACACCTGTAATCCCAGCATTTTGGGAGGCCGAAGTGGGCAGATCACCTGAGGTTAGTGGTTTGAGACCAGCCTGGCCAATATAGCAAAACCCCATCTCTACTAAAAAGACAAAAATTAGCTGGGTGTGGTAGCACGTGCCTGTAATCCCAGCTACTCGGGAGGCTGAGGCAGGAGAATCACTTGAACCTGGGAGGCGGAGGTTGCAGTGAGCTAAGATCACGCCACTGTACTCCAGCCTGGGCAACAAAGCCAGACCCTGTCTCAAAAAAAAAAAAAAAAGTTGAGGGCAGGAGCTGAAAGCAGTCAGTTAAATAGGTGATTGGGGGCTGAGGATGTGAGGTCCTGGAGTCTGTCTAGTTTCTTCAGTAAGATGAAAAAAACTCTTTTCTTTTTTCTCTCCAGACTCAGTGGTTCTCCATCCTTCCGGACTTCAGCCTGGATCTCCAAGAGGGGCCCTCTGTAGAGTCCCAGCCCTACTCCGATCCTCATATACCCCCGGTATCTAAGAATGCCAAGGCCAGAACAAGGAAATGTAGTTTAGTATCTGGTCACGGGAGAGAAAATAAAAGCTGCAGAGGTTGGGGGTGGGGTCAGGGATTCTAGGGATGGGGCAGAGTGGCAGCATCCTTTGTACCTACAGGTGGATCCCACAACTCATTTGACCTTTAACCTTCACCTGTCCAAGAAAGAGAGAGAAGCCAGAGATAGCCTGATCCTGCCCTTCCAGTTCAGTTCTGAAAAGTAAGGTTGGGACCTGGGTACGTGGATCCCTGAGTAGATCCCAGCATCTGGGCCATGGAGAGGTTGGGGCAACAGGTTATTGATTAACCTGACTTTATAGGGACTGAAGTCCACCTCCAGAGACAAGTCCAAGTTCTTGATCCACCCATTCCCCCTATAATGGCAGAGGACCTTTATGTCTCTTTTCTCTCCCTTATACCCTTGGGTCACAGCTCCAGTTGTCCCCAGAGCACCCTGGGCCTGGGCTGAGCCAGACCAGACCCTTGGGAGGTGGCCCTATCCCTAGGCAGTGGTGCTAGGAGGACAGAAGGCTATATGGGCGTGGCAGAGGCTGGTTAACAAGGGCTTAGTACACGCTTGCTGTTCTGTGCCCAGTATGTGGGCGGATGACGCAAGACTACAAGATCCTTGCCCTCAAGCTGCTAGGAACTTACGGTTTTATTAGGAGAGCAGTACAAGGGTATCTATCCCAGTACCAAATGGTGCTTCAGCTCTAACATGGAGGTCAGAGAAAGGGACTTGGACCAATAAAATGACATGGAGGCCTAACAGGTTGCCTGAATGAGAGTCACAGTCACCTGGAAGAAAGTATCCAGACCCAACCTGTTAGCTACCCTCACCAGCACCAAATCTTCCCTTCTCAGACAGCAGGCTCTCCTGCGGCCTAGGCCAGGGCAGGCTACCAGCCACATCTTCTATGAGCCAGATGCTTATGATGACCTGGACCAAGAAGACCCAGATGACGACCTGGATATTTGACTGGCCAGATTTGATTAGATTGTAATTGGAGGGGGCGCGGGAAGACTTTGGGCCCAGAACCATCTTTCTATTGTTTGTGTTAGCCTTACCCTGTCCCTGCCCCACCTTGGTTCCCCTTGTCTATGGAGCCCCGCCTTGTGAGCCAGGAAGCAGCGTCTCATCAGGACAGAAGGTAGGATGAAGACATGGGGTAATGTGAGAGAGTAGAACACCCCCGTACCTAATAAAAATCTTTATTTTTTTATTAAAAAAGAAGTACTTTGGTAGCTATTTAAATAAGAGGGGGGTGGGAATGAATGTCGAGATACGAGCACCTGCATCTTTTAGTCAATTGTCAGTGGAGTCAGTGGGGTGCTAAGTGTTCTGAACTGAAGTAGGTGCACTAAGGTTCCAAGCTCCCTGCAAGGATCTGGACGGGAGGAAAGCAGAGGCCCTGAAGGGAAAAAAGCCTGCTTCCCAATACTTATTTTTTATTACTGTACAAAAAGCACACTCTCCCTCTTTTTGTCTCTCCCACCAACGGCACCCCCCCACCCCCAACCCAAGAGGACTATACATGGAGTGCAGGGACAGAGTGACCAGGAGGCCTTTGTCCGGCACCCTGCCCACAGGCTGAGCTCAGCCCCAGGCCCTTTCAGGCATCTAGACACTCCCATAGCCTGTCAGGCTGGGGCAAGGAGATCCCAGGTCACACATACTCCTTGGAAGAGTTGGACTTAGGGTAAGAGCGGGGTACACGGTACCCAGCCTTGCTCTCATTCCCAGGACAGGAACAGGAGAGCAGTGCACCTCCCAGGATGACTAGGGCAGACCCTGCCCAGCCAATAAAGATGGCAGGGCCAAACTCATACCTGTGAAGAGAAGGGGGTGGTTAGAAACCCTGGCGTGCCTCTGCCCTCCTCCCTATTCCAGGACCCCAGACCTGTCCCCTTAGGAGGCAGGGTTCCCAGACTTACTTAATGTTGGTAGGGATCAAAGGGTTATAAAAGTCTGTGACAATCTGATGGCCATACCAGGAGCAAGCTACCAAGGCGGCAAGACCTGGAGACAGAATGAGGGTTTCAGTATAGTGAGGCCCCAAATGGGCGCCTTGCCCAGCCTTGCTCCTCCCAGATGGGAGAACCCGGGGGCTCACCTGCCACGATGAAAATTATGCCTCCACCCATGGCTATACGGGCCTTCTTCACTTTGTCGTCTCCCCCACAGCGCGTGCACTTCATGCCCATCGTGGCCACAAACATGGCCAGGAAGCCCAGCACCAGGGAGACCACCATTAGGGCTCGAGTGGCCTGCAAGGCCGCTGCGGGCGAGGGGAAAGGGCGCCGTCATTGCTGGAAATGCAGGCGGCTCCAGCCTTCGTGCCGCCGGCCGCGCCCACTAACCGCTGGACCTCTTCTGTCCGGCGCCGTGTTCTGCCGAGGGCCAGGGGCGCCCAGGTGTCCAAGACCTGGGCCAAGCGGGCAGGTCCCCGCCCCTCCCGACAGCGCGGCCTTCCTGCTCCCGCCCCGCCCTCTCCGCTCAAGGATCCGCCCGGGGCGCCGGGGTTTCGGTGAAACTGCCCTGGATAGGGGGAAGGGTGAAAGGGTGCAGCGAAGAGAAGCCGAGACGGTGGTCCGAAGCCCCGCGCGGCGCACATGCCAGCCGGCGTCCCTGCTCTGAGCCCGCTATCGAGGCCACCGGGTTTGTGGCTTCGGCTAATCGGCCGATAAGATTAGAGGCAGCAGGCGGCGGCCCACTCTGACCAGCCGCACCGCCCTTCGGCCCTCGGCGCGCCCCGTGCCCCGCGCCCCGGGGCCGTTTCTGTCTGAGAAAAGGACGGGAGATGACGGAGGCCATGGCCTGCCCGGGAATGGAGGAGGGGATGGCCCCGGCCTAAGCACCGCTGCTCCGAGCCGGGGACGAGGCTGGGTTGGGGGAGGAAGAGGAACGTGGGCGACCGAGGTGCGCGCCCACGTGCAGCCGCCGGAACCCCGGCCCGCTCCCGCCCAGCCCCGCCGCCCCCAGCCGACCACTTCCTCGCCCTGCAGCTCCCCGGCAACCCAGGGCCCCCAGCCGTGGGGCCTCGGCTCTCCCACGCGCGCCACCCCGCCACCTCGGTCAAGGGCGCGTCCGCCCCGTCGGTCCCGCGGCCTTACCGGACAGGGCGAGCACCGAGTCGTACATTTTGCAGCTCATCATCCCCGTGCTCTGCGTGACGCAGTCCATCCACAGCCCCTTGTACATGGCCTGGGCCGTGATGATGTTGTCACCCGCATAGGAGCTCATCTGCCACTGCGGGATGGCGGTGCAGGCCACCAGACCCACCCAGCCCAGCAGGGCCATGGAGAAGCCCAGCAACTGCAGGCCCGAATTGGCCATTTCCGCCCTCAGAAAACACTGGGGGCGCCGGGCGGGGAGACCCTACAGTAAAACAAACGACACTTGGGGGGCAGCCCCACAAAAGAAAACTTGAGGTGGAGTTTTCCGGTCACCCAAAGAGACAAAAAGGGTTTGGGCCAGGTGAATGCAAATCTTGTCACCAAACTACACACAAATCGACCCCTCCAGTGAAGCGATGGCCTCGCGGCACAGGGAGTAGGATACGCCGGGAGGGTGGTTCCAGACAAAATTGGTGGTCCCCGAAGGCCAGGCGGTTCCCTCCGGGCGCTCTCGGCGACCCTAGGCAAACAAAAGGTGGAGGGGCCGTCTGGGCGCGTTTCTGAGCGCCGGCAAGTCCCAAAGTATCCTGGGCTGTAGGTCCGAGGCTGCGGTGCGCAGCAGAGGTGGCTCGGAGGTGAGCCAGCAGGTGCGGGCGGACAGGTGGGGCGCACCTGAGTATATGTAGGGCGTCGGGGGCGCGGCCCGCGCGCCCCGGGAGCGCGGGAGGGGGAGGCGGGACCGGAGGGGCGGCCGAGGATGACCTGACGTCACCGAAGGGACACTCACCTGAACCGGAAGTCGTGGCCCCCACCCCTCCTTGCCCAGGTGAGGAGGAAGAAACCTGAGCACCAGGGTCACGCCCCTTCGCTTGCCCGGTTTTGACCGCCGCTGGGGAGGAGGCGGTGGCTCCCCAGGAGTCCCAAGCTCCGAGTCAGCCCCTCCGGACTGGATTTCCCTCGAACACCGGGAAGCCCCTTCCTTTCTTCCCAACAGGTGCGCCTGGGACGCTGCGGGGCGCCCCTGACAAGCCTCGGCGCCGCCCTTTCCCCGCCGGGTTCTGTCCAAAGTGCTCTCTCCTCGGCCCTGCTTTCGCCCCCACCCGCTGCTCTCCTTTTTTTTCCTGTCTCCTACCCTGGTCGATCCCACCTTCGGGGGCCCTGGCTCGATCCCTGAGAGTCGCCCCCTTCAGCACCCTCTTCAGTGTCCCGGTTCTCTGGCTCTGCTACAGACACCCGGCTTAGCGTGGCTCCCCAACAGCCCCACCTTCCTGTGCCCCCATTCCAACCCAACATGACTTACAGCCTGAACCCTTTGCACTCAACCTCCCCACCTACCACTGTCCCCTCCGGCATCAAGGCTCCTAACTGGAGGAAGAAACCACTGGGACCTAAAGCCGGCCGAGGGTGGGGAGCAGGGTGAGGGCTAGGTCAGAGTCTTGGCCACACCCATCGTTCCCCTCCCTTAGAGTCTTTTCAGACCTATCCTCCACCTTTCCCACCCCTCCCCCACACTCGCCCGTTTCTCTTTCCCTCCCGGGCCTGGGCTTGGACTGCCAATTGCTGTGCACTCTGTCACGCCTCACTGTTCCGTCCTCCCTATAATCTGGCTCTCTAAGGTGGTCGTCCATGGTCCCTCACCCTGCAGTCCTGCTATCTCTCCCCAAAGCATTGCTCCCTCCTTCCTCCCGGCACCCCTTCCAGCCTTTTGCTCCTTCCTCCTTCATCTTTGGTCATCTCCCCTTCCTGCCTTTCCTGCTTTGGAGCTTCCTGTTTCACTCCTTGTCTTTTTTTTGTTGTTGTTTGAGAGGAGGAAGTCTGTGTTACCCAGGCTGGAGTGCAGAGGTGCAATCTCGGCTCACTGCAGCCTCGCCTCCTGGGCTCAAGCGATCACCCCGCCTCAGCGTCCCCAGTAGCTGGGACCGCGGGTGCACACCACCACGCCCAGCTAAAGTTTTTGTATTTTTGGTAGAGAAGGGTTTTCACCATGTTGCTCAGGCTGGTCTTGAACACTTGAACTGAAGCAATCCCCCTGCCCCCACCTCCTAAAGTGCAGGATTACAGGCGTGAGCCACCGCACCCAGCCCACTCCTTGTCTTTTCGTTTACCTTTGCGCCTTGTCTCCAGTCTCCTTGGAACCCAGCATCAGCAATTAATCTTTCTTTCCTCTTCTTAGGTGCACACTGCACTTTCCCCACCCACCCTGCCCAGTTTCCTCCCAATCTTCCTACTACCCTCCAACCTCCTCATACTTCTCAGATTCTCACATACCCTGCTTATTCTGGCTCTCTCTCATTTCATTTTCCTCTCTCCATTTTTTACCTCAACTCTCTCACGTTTTTTATCTTTGTTTTGCCCTCTCAAACATTTCTCTGTCTTTCCTTCGTTTATTCGCTAAACATATTAAAGTCCCCCTTATGCTAAGCTAATTGACCTGCTTTTGTATAAAATGAAGACTTTCATGAACTCTTTTTTTTTTTTTTTGAAACAGAGTTTTTGCTCTTGTCGCCCAGACTGGAGTGCAATGGCATGATCTCGGCTCACTACAACCTCCACCTCCTGGGTTCAAGTGATTCTCCTGCCTCAGCCTCCCAAGTAGCTGGGAGTATAGGTGCCCACCACCACGCCCAGCTAATTTTTGTATTTTTAGTAGAGACGGGGTTTCACCGTGTTAGCCAGGCAGATCTCGAATTCCTGACCTCAGGTGATCCCAACCCACCTCGACCTCCCAAAGTGCTGGGATTACAGGCGTGAGTCACTGCTCCCAGCCATGAACTGTTTGTTATTCGTTTTTATTGTTGTACTTTTGGATTAATGGTACTTTTCTGGATTAATGTACTCTTAGAGGCCGGGTCTCACTCTGTCGCCCAGGCTAGAGTGCAGTGGTACAATTATAGCTCACTGCAGCCTTGAACTCCTGGGCTCAAAGCATGCCCCCCCACCCCCCAACAAATAGCTGCAATTACAGCCACGTGTCATCATTGTTCTGGCTTTGTTTGTTTTTTGAAACAGAGTCTCGCTCTGTCACCCAAGCTGGAGTGCAGTGGCACGATCTCGGCTCACTGCAACCTCTGCCTCCCGGGTTCAAGCAATTCTCCTGCCTCACCCTCCCGAGTAGCTGGGATTATAAGCGCGCACCACCACGCCCAGCTAATTTTTTGTATTTTTAGTAGAAACGAGGTTTCACCATGTTGGCCAGGCTGGGCTCAAATTCCTGACCTCAAGTGATCTCCCTGCCTCAGCCTCCCAAAGTGGTGGGATTACAGGAGTGAGCTACCGCAACTGACTTTCCTTTTTTTTTTTTTTTTTTTTTTTTTTTTTTTTTTTTGAGACGGAGTCTTTCTCTGTCGCCCAGGCTGGAGTGCAATGGCACGATCTCAGCTCACTGCAACCTCCGCCTCCCGGGTTCAGGCCATTCTCCTGCCTCAGCCTCCTGAGTAGCTGAGACTACAGGCACCCGCCACCACGCCCGGCTAATTTTTTTGTATTTTTTTAGTAGAGGCGGGGTTTCACCGTGTTAGCCAGGATGGTCTCGATCTCCTGACCTTGTGATCCGCCCGCCTTGGCCTTCCAAAGTGCTGAGATTACAGGCGTGAGCCACTGCGCCCAGGCTGGAGTGCAATGGCACAATCTCAGCTCACTGCAACCTCTGCCTCCCAAGTTCAAGCAATTCTCCTACCTCAACCTCCCAAGTAGCTGGGATTACAGGCATGTACCACGACACCCGGCTAACTTTTTGTATTTAGTTGAGATGGGGTTTCACCATGTTGGTCAGGTCGGTCTCGAACTCCTGACCTCAGGTGATCCACCTGCTTCGGCCTCCCAAAGTGCTGGGATTACCGGTGTGAGCCACTGCGCCTGGCCCCGACCTTTTTTTTTTTTTTTTTTTTTCCGATGGTGAGATTTTCTTTTTTTCTTTTTAATTTTATTTTATTTTGAGACGTAATCTTGCTCTATTGCCTAGGCTGGAGTGCAGTGGTGCGATCTCGGCTCACTGCAACCTCCGCCTCCCGGGTTCAAGCAATTCTCCTGCCTCGGTCTCTTAAATAGCTGGGATTACAGGCGCGCACCACCACACCCAGCTAATTTTTGTATTTTTAGTAGAGATGGGGTTTCACCATGTTGGTCAGACTGGTCTCAAACTCCTGACATCGGGATCCGCCCGCCTCGGCCTCCCAAAGTGCTGGGATTACAGGCCTGAGCCACCACCCCCGGCCTTTTTTTTTATTATGTTAAAAGACTAGTCAGATGCAGTAGTGAGAAAGCAGTGAGAGTGGAAAAAGAAGTTCCGTCTGTAACTGACTGTGAACAATCAATTGAAATAATTCACTACCTTCAGACCAGCTGAGATTTTCTTGAAAATTTTCCTTTTAGCTCTAAAAGAAAATATTTGTCATCACTTAACTATATCCAGCTTCTCTCCAAACTCACTGCCGCCACGCCACACCAGCCCAAGACTGGACACAGCAACTGCCTCCAAACCAATCTCCCTTCCACACTGGTCATTTTAAACTCTATTCTCTGGAGTGACCACTTCTTACTCACTCAGAGCTTTGTCATTTCCTGTTTAAAATCTTTCAGTTGGCCGGGTGCGGTGGCTCACGCCTGTAATCCCAGCACTTTGGGAGGCTGAGGCGGGCGGATCACGAGGTCAGGAGATCGAGACCATGGTGAAACCCCGTCTCTACTAAAAATACAAAAAAAAAAAAAAAAAATTAGCCGGGTGTGGTGGTGGGCACCTGTAGTCCCAGCTTCTCGTGAGGCTGAGGCAGGAGAATGGCGTGAACCTGGGAGGCGGAGCTTGCAGTGAGCTGAGATCGCGCCACTGCACTCCAGCCTGGGCGACAGAGCAAGACACTGTCTCAAAAAAAAAAAAAAGAAATAAAATAAAATAAAATCTTTCAGTGACACTCGTGTTCTTCCCAGTAAGTGTCACACCATGGCTGACCTGACTGCCTCAGCCACACTGGCCTTCTCTGTTCCTGCCCACTGAATTGCCTTTGTACAGTCTGTTCTCTGGGTCTGGAAGCTCTTCTCCATCCACTCCCACCCACCTTCCTCTATCCAGCTAACCAACTAATCCTTCAGCTATCCCTCAAATAGCACTTCTTTTAGAAAGCCTGGCCTGACCACCCCACCCCAAACTGAGTCAGATCATCTGCATAGTGCTCTCACGGCTACCAGTACTTTGCTTTCAAAGCTCTTATCACAGTTTGAAAATACTGTATTTACTTTATGTACTTATTTATTCAATGTCAATATCCCCACTATACTGTATGCTCCAAGAGGGTAGAGATGTGTCTGGATTTTATCACCAATAAATATTTGAGGAATGAATGAATAAATTGCAAATAAACAATATTTTCATTCACTGTTCAACAAATATTTTCTTTTTTCTTTTTTCTTTTTTTTTTTTGAGACAGAGTCTTGCTCTGTCACCCAGGCTGGAAGGCAGTGGCACGATCTTGGCTCATCACAACCTCTGCCTCTCAGGTTCAAGCGATTCTTGTGCCTCAGCTTCCCAAGTAGCTAGGGTTACAGGCACGGACCACCATGCCCAGCTAATTTTTTAAATATTTTTGGTAGAGATGGGGTTTCACCATGTTGGCCAGGCTAGTCTCGAACTCCTGACCTCAGGTGATCCGCCCACCTTGGCCTCCCAAAATTCTAGGATTACAGGTGCGAGCCACCACACCCAGCCCTCAACAAATATTTTCTAAGTGTCTATAATGTGCCAGACATGGCCAGGCACAGTGGTTATGTCTGTAGTCCCAGCTACTCAGGAAGCTGAGGTGAGAAGATCACTTAAGCCCATAAGTTCGAGGCTGCAGTGAGCTATGATCATGCCACTGCACTCCAGTCTGGGCAACAGAGGGAGATCCTGTCTCTTAAAAAAAAAAAATGGTGCGGCCAGGTGTGGTGGCTTATGCCTGTAATCGCAGCCCTTTGGGAGGCAGAGGCAGGAGGATCACGAGGTCAGGAGTTCGAGACCAGTCTAGCCAACATGGTGAAACCCCATCTCTACTAGAAATACAAAAAATTAGCTGGGTGTGGTGGCAGGGGCCTGTAATCCCAGCTACTCGGGAGGCTGAAGCAGGAGAATCGCTTTAACCTGGGAGGCAGAGGTTGCAGTGAGCCGAGACTGCATCACTGTACTTCAGCCTGGGCAACAGAGCAAGACTCTGTCTCAAAAAAAAAAAAGGGGGGGAGACCAAGCATGTTGGCTCATGCCTGTAATCCCAGCACTTTGGGAGGCTGAGGCGGGGGGATCACGAGGTCAGGAGTTTGAGACCAGCCTGGCCAACATGGTGAAACCCCGTCTCTACCAAAGGTACAAAAAATTAGCCGGGCGTGGTGGCACGCGCCTGTAGTCCCAGCAACTCTGGAGACTGAGGCAAGAGAATCCCTTGAACCCGGGAGGCGGAGGTTGTGAGGTTGCAGTGAGCCAAGATCGCGCCATTGCACTCCAGCCTGGGCAACAGGCTGTCTCAATAATTTAAAAAAAAAAAAAAAGAAAGGCTGGGTGCAGTGGCTCACACCTGTAATTCCAGCACTTTGGGAGGCCGAGGTGGGTGGATCGCCTGAGGTCAGGAGTTCGAGACCAGCCTGGCCAACATGGTGAAACCCCGTCTCTACTTAAAATACAAAAATTAGCTGGGTGTGGTGGCAGGTGCCTGTAATCCCAGCTACTCGGGAGGCTGAAGCAGGAGAATTGCTTGAATCCAGGAGGCGGAGGTTGCAATGAGCCGAGATCGCGTCATTGCACTCCAGCCTGAGGGACAAGAGTGAGACTTCGTCTGAAAAAAAAAAAAAAGACCAGGCACTATAGTTGACCCTGGAGATACAGCAGGAAGCAAACTGGATAAGGATACTGAACTCATGCTACTTATTTTCTAGAAGGAAGAAGCAGACAATAAAGACATAAACAAAACGGTGCATGTTTTGAAAGCAATAAAGCAGTGTAATCTGATGAGGTCGAATCTACTCTAGGATGAGGTTAGAGAGAACTTTTTGAGGAAATGACTGCTAAATAATATGCCAGTGGCCAGGCACAATGGCTCATGCTTGTAATCCCAGCACTTTGGGAGGCTGAGGCAGGTGGGTCACCCGAGGTCAGGAGTTCAAGACCAGCCTGGCCAACATGGTGAAAACCCGTCTCTACTAAAAATATTTTTAAAAATTAGCCGAGCATGATGGTGTGTGCCTGTAATCCCAGCTACTCGGGAGGCTGAGACAGGAGAATCGCTTGAAACTGGGAGGCAGAGGTTGCAGTGTGCCAAGATCATGCCACTGCACTCCAGCCTGGGCAACAAGAGTAAAACTCCATCTCAAACAAACAAAAAATAATAATAGTAAGCCACGAGGGAACCATATTATAGGCAGAAGGAACAGCAAGGGCAAAGGGCAAAGGCCTGCTGTTGATTGCCCCTTTGAGACTCACAGTAATTAATTTAAAGCAGAATTTCTCAACCTTGACACTGTTGACATTTTCTCCCCTGCTATCTCTTGGGCTAGATAATTTTTTGTTGTCCCATGCATTATAGGATATTTAGGAGCATCTCTGACTTCTATCAATTAGATGTACCCTCCCCTGTACCTAAGTGTGACAAAAAATGTCTCCAGACGTTGCCAAATGTCCCAGGGAGGAGAGGAGTAAAATGGGTCCCAGTAAAGCGTGACTGGTGAGCATCATCATGGATTTTTTTCCTCTAATAGCCTTGAAGTAACTAGTTGGATAAAAGGATCCAAGTAGGGGCCGGGCGTGGTGGTTCACACCTATAATCCCAGCACTTTGGGAGGCTGAGGTGGGCGGATCACCTGAGGTCAGGAATTCGAGACCAGCCTGACCAACATGGAGAAACCCGGTCTGTACTAAAAATACAAAACTAATCAGGTGTGGTGGCATGTGCCTGTAATCCCAGCTACTCGGGAGGCTGAAGCAGGAGAATCACTTGAACCTAGGAGGTGGAGGTTGCAGTGAGCCGAGGTCGCACCATTGTACTGTAGCCTGGGCAACAAGACTGAAACTCCTTCAAAAAAAGAGAAAAAATGGGATCCAAGTACATGAATAGTTGAAATTAACTAGGGTTGGGTGTTACTAAAAAGAGGAAGAAGGAATTTTATAATATTTTCACGAGAGTGATTGTGTTAGATTATAGATATAAATTGGGTAAGAGGGAGAGAAAACACAAAAGAGTTGGTGGATAGTGAAAAACTGGTAGGATCAAAAGTTTAGAGGTCCCCATGAGGTGAAAGAAGTGAGGATACATGAGTCTGGACATGGTGGCTCATGTCTGTAATCCCAACACTTTGGGAGGCTGAGGTAAGTGGATCACTTGAGCTCAGGAGTTGGAGACCAGCCTGGGCAATATGGCAAAACCTCACCTCTACAAAAAAAATACAACAGCAAAAAGTTAGGCAGGCATGGTGGCTGGCACCTGTAGTCCTAGCTACTCGCTCGAGAGGCTGCGGTGGGAGGATTGCTTAAGCCTGGAAGGTCGAGGCTACAGTGAGCCATGATCATTCCACTGCACTCCAGCCTGGGCAACAGAGGGAGACCCTGTCTCAAGAAAAAAAGAGGCCGAGTGCGGTGGGTCAAGCCTGTAATCCCAGCACTTTGGGAGGCCGAGGCGGACGGATCACGAGGTCAGGAGATCGAGACCATCCTGGCTAACACGGTGAAACCCTGTCTCTACTAAAAACACAAAAATTAGCCAGGCATGGTGACACACTCCTGTAGTCCCAGCTACTCAGGAGGCTGAGGCAGGAGAATGGCGTGAACCCGGGAGGCGGAGCTTGCAGTGAGCCGAGATTGCGCCACTGGGCAACAGAGTGAAACTCTGTCTCAATAAATAAATAAATAAATAAAATTTTTAAAAAGGAAAAAAAAAAGTGAGGATATGTGAGTAAATGAACTAGAAGGCTAGAGGTGATTATGAAACATTCCTGGTTTGAATTCAAAAAATTGGAAGAAGGCCGGGCACAGTGGCTCACGCCTATAATCTTAGCACATTGGGAGGTTGAAGCAAGCAGATCACTTGAGGCCAAGCAGATTGCTTGAGGCTTGAGACCAGCCTGACCCGTTAACAAGGCAAAACCCCGTCTCTCCTAAAAATACAAAAATTGGCCAGGCCTCGGAGGCCTGCAGAGAGCCGAGATCACGCCACTGCACTCCAGCTTGGGTGACAGAGCAAGACTCAGTCTCAAAAAAAAAAAAAAAAAAAAATAGCCAGGCATAATCCCAGCTTCTTGGGAGGTTGAGCCATGAGAACTGCTTGAACCCAGGAAGCAGAAATTGCAATGAGCCGAGGTCACACCACTGCACTCCTGCCTGGGCAATACAGCAAGACTCTGTCTCAAAAAAAAAAAATTGTTGCTAGGCATGGCAGCTCATGCCTGTAATCCCAGCCTTTTGGGAGGCCAAGGCCAACAGATAGCTTGAGGTCAGGAATTCGAGACCAGCCTGGGCAACATGGTGAAACCCCATCTCTGCCAAAAATACAAAAATTAGCCAGGCATGGTGGTGGATGCCTGTAATCTCCGCTACTCAGGAGGCTGAGAATCGCTTGAACCCGGGAGGCAGAGGTTGCAATGAGCCGAGACGGCGCCACTGCACTCCAGCCTGGGCAACAGAGCGAGACTCCATTTCAAAAAAAAAAAAAAAGTTGGAAGAGTTTGTTTTTGGAGATGACAAAACCTAGGGTAGAGGTCTGAGGATGGGCTGAAGAGGAAAATCACTGGAGAAGAGACTGAGGAGTGGAGAGGCCACAATGGATTGCCCTGATGGATTATGAAGTTATCAACGATGATGTTAGGAAAAAATAGGTGAAAAGAGGAAGAAGATGAGCCAGGTGCTAACATTATCAGTGAATGTGGGTGAACAACCGGGTTTGAAGACCCTTGCAACAAGTAGAGGCAGCAGATCATATAGTTTGAGACGTTAATTTCAAAAAGCAGAGGATTTTGAAAGATGAAGAAAGAATAAGGGTCTAAGGCCAGGCATGGTGGCTCATGCCTATAATCCCAGCACTTTGGGAGGCCGAGGGGGGCAGATCACGAGTTCAGGAGTTCGAGAGCAGCCTGACCTACATGGTGAAACCCCATCTCTACTAAAAATACAAAAATTAGCCGGGCGTGGTCATGCACGCCTGTAATCCCAGCTACTCAGGAGGCTGAGGCAGGAAAATCGTTTGAACCCGGGAGGCGGAGGTTGCAGCGAGCCAAGATCGCGCCACTGCACTCCAGCCAGGGTAACAGAGTGAGACTCCATCTCAAGAAAAAAAAAAAAAAAGGCCGGGCACGGTGGCTCACGCCTGTAATCCCTCCCAGCACTTTGAGAGGCTGAGGCGGGTGGATCATGAGGTCAGGAGATCGAGACCGTCCTGGCTAACATGGTGAAACCCCGTTTCTACTAAAATACAAAAAAAATTAGCCAGGCGTCGTGGCAGGCGCCTGTAGTCCCAGCTACTCAGGAGGCTGAGGCAGGAGAATGGCATGAGCCCGGGAGGAGGAGGTTGCAGTGAGCAGAGATTGCGCCACTGCACTCCAGCCTGGGCGACAGAGCAGGCTGTCTCAAACAAAAAAAAAAAAAAAGAGTCTAGACGCAGCACTAGGGAGCAATCCACCCAACTCTACTCTGCAGTATGCAAAGACCGATGAACAAGCCTCTGTAAAGAGGGCTGCCAGGGAAGTGTGCCCTCCAGACGCCAGGTTTCAGTAAGGTCTAGGAAAGGGAGGTTCAGAGAAGAGGATGGGCTTATAAGAATGATGACAGACATTGAGTCCAGAGGTAACCGTGGAAAAATTTGAAAGGTCAAGTCTGGTTGGAAGATTGGGTGATATTAGGGGATGTACACTACAGTATGGGGTGGTGGATGATGACATTATGAGTTAATCAACCTCGTATGAAAACCCAACCAACTTGTTTGTTTCTACAGGAAATTGTTCTGAGTTCTAAAAACTGATACATAAATTAACTTTGGAAACTTGCAGCATTATTTATAAAGTAATTGGTTACTGATTATTTCAAGGCAAATGATATTCCAGGTTCTAATTCTGCTTCCTTCAGGACTTCATTCTTGGGCTTCGACTATCTCATCTTTAAAATAGGAGTGATAATGTTTTTGCCTACTTGGGAAACAAGAGGCTGGGCTAAGTGGTCTACTATGGTTCATTCTGGAGTAGATATTTGAGATACAGATTTGGAAAAGAAGTGAAAAAGTGACCAACTCATTTATGAGGCTAGGGTAATCTTGCCTCTGAAATCAGTTAGTAATAATATAAGAAAAGAATTCTAGGCCCATTTAATCTATGAATATAGACACAGAAGTCTTTAATAAAATATTACTTAACTAGGCTGGAAGCGGTGGCTTACGCCTGTAATCCCAGCACTTTGGGAGGCTGAGATGGGCAGAACACATGAGGCCAGGAGTTCAAAACCAGCCTGACCAACATGGTGAAACCCCGTCTCTACTAAAAATACAAAAAAATTCTTTGGGAGGCTGAGGTGGGTGGATCACGAGGTCAGGAGATCGAGACCATCCTGGCTAACATGGTGAAACCCCGTCTCTACTAAAAATACAAAAAATTAGCCGGGCGCGGTGGCAGGCACCTGTAGTCCCAGCTACTTGGGAGGCTGAGGCAGGAGAATGGCACGAACCCGGGAGGCGGAGCTTGCAGTGAGCCGAGATCATGCCACGGCACTCCAGCCTGGGTGACAGAGCGAGAATCTGTCTCAAAAAAAAAAAAAAATACAAAAAAATTAGCCGGGTGTGGTGACGCACGCCTGTAGTCCCAGCTACTCAGGAGGCTGAGGCGGGAGAATCGCTTGAACCTAGGAGGCAGAGGTTGCAATGAGGCTAGATCATGCCACTGCACTCCAGCCTGGGTAACACAGCAAGATTCTGTCTCAAAAAAAAGAAAAAATTACAAAATCCATCAATGTGGTTTATCACAATAATAGACTAAAGGAAAAAAATCAGCAGGATGCGGTGGCTCTTGCCTGTAATCCCAGCATTTTGGGAGGCCGAGGTGGGTGAATCACGAGGTGAGGAGATCGAGACTATCCTGGTTAACACAGCAAAATCCTGTCTCTACTAAAAATACAAAAAATTAGCCAGGCGTGTTGGCACACACTAGTAGTTCCAGCTACTCGGGAGGCTGAGGCAGGAGAATCACTTGAACCCAGGAGGCGGAGGTTGCAGTGAGCCGAGATCGCACCACTGCACTCCAGCCTGGGTGACAGAGCGAGACTTCATCTCAAAAAAAAAAAAAAAAAAAAATAGAGGCTGGGCGCAGTGGCTCACGCCTGTAATCCCAGCACTTTGGGAGGCTGAGGCGGGTGGATCACCTGAGGTTGCGAGTTCGAGACTAGCCTGACCAACATGGAGAAACTCCGTCTCTACTTAAAATACAAAATTAGCCGGGCGTGGTGGTGGGCACCTATAATCCCGGCTACTCGGGAGGCTGAGGCAGGAGAATCGCTTGAACCTGGGAGGCAGAGGTTGTGGTGAGCCGAGATTGCACCATTGTACTCCAGCCTGGGCAACAAGAGCAAAACTCCGTCTCAAAAAAAAAAAAAAGGAAAAAAAATCATATGGCTATCTCAAATGAGAATTTTAAAGGGCATTTGATGAGGTTCAATACCTGCTTATCATAAAAACCTTTAGCAAACAAAGGTTAGATAGGAAATTCTTATACTTAATGAATAATGTTGGACTCATCTCTTTTATTCTTGGGGAAAAAAACAAAGATGTCCACTGTTACCACACTTATTTTACAAAATCCTAGAGGTCTTGAGCAATACTACAAGGAAATAAAAGAAACAAGTAGTGCAAAGATACGAAAGGAAAAAATAAAACTGATTATTTGCCGGGCGCGGTAGCTCACGGCTGTAATCCCAGCACTTTGGGAGGCCGAGGTGGGTGGATCAACAGGTGAAGAGTTCGAGACCAGCCTGGCCAACATGGTGAAACCCATCTCTACCAAAAATACAAAAATTAGCTGCATGTGCTAGCTCACACCTGTAATTCCAGCTACTTGGGAGGCTGAGGCAGAAGAATCGCTTGAATCTGGGAGGTGGAGGTCACAGTGAGCCAAGATCGTGCCACTGCACTCCAGCCTGGGCAACAGAGCCAGACTCCGTCTCAAAACAAGAAAACAAAACAAAACAAAAACCCTGATTATTTGCAGGTAATATAATCATCTACTTAGAAAAACCAATAAAATCGCCGGTCGCAGTGGCTCACACCTGTAATCCCAGCACTTTGGGAGGCCAAGGCAGGTGGATCACCTGAGGTCTGGAGTTCGGGACCAGGCTAACCAACGTGGAGAAACCCCGCCTCTACTAAAAATACAAAATTAGCCGGGAATGGTGGTGCATGCCTGTAATCCCAGCTACTCGGGAGGTTGAGACAGGAGAATTGCTTGAGGCCCGGAGGCGGAGGTTGCAGTGAGCCGAGATAGCGCCGTTGCACTCCAGCCTGGGTAACAATCGAAACTCCGTCTTAAAATAAACAAATAAATAAAATAAAATCAACAGAAAGACTAGTAGAACAAGCAAGGGTATTCATAAAGGTTGTTGTGTACAAAATTAACCTATAAAACAAACAAACAAACAAAAACTACTAGTATTTTACTGCACCAGAAATTACCAATCAGAAAATGTTAAAAAAAAAAAGAAAAGAAAAGAAAAGAAAAAAGAAAAAGAAAAAAAAAGGCCAGGCACAGTGGCTCACGCCTGTAATCTCAGCATTCTGGGAGGCCAAGGTAGGTGGGTACTTGAGCCCAAGGGTTTCAGGCCAGCCTGGGCAATATAGGGAAGCCCTGTCTCTACAAAAAGATACAAAAATTTGCTGGGCATGGTGGTGTGCGCCTGTAGTCCCAGCTACTTGAGAGGCTGAAGTGGGAGGATTTCTTGAGCCCAGGAGGCTGCAGTGAGCCATAATTGCACCACTCTACTCCAGCCAGGACAACAGAGTGGCACTCTGTCTCAAAAAAAAAAAAAAAGAAGAAGAAGAAGAAGAAAGAAAAAGAATAACAAAAATAACATTCAATGGCCAAGCACGGTGGCTCACGCTTGTAATCCCAGCACTTTGGGAGGCCGAGGCAGGTGGATCATGGGGTCAGGAGTCAGAGACCAGCCTGTCCAACATGGTGAAAGCCCATTTCTGCTAAAAATACAAAAAATTAGCAGGGCGTGGTGGCACACGCCTGTAGTCCCAGATACTCAGGACAGTGAGGCAGAAGAATCGCTTGAACCTGGGAGGCGGAGGTTGCAGTGAGCTGAGATCTCACCATTGCACTCCAGCCTGGGCAACACGGTGAGACTATGTCTCAAAAATAAATAAATAAATAAATAACATGCAATTTACATCAGTGACAAAGTTATAAGGTATCTAGGAATTAACCAAGAATTCTTAAAACTTTAGTGGAAAAATGTTTTTTAATTCTCATAAAATACATAGATGACAGCCTGAATATATAAATCAATAGTCCATGCTCTCAAATGGGATGACTTAATATTATAATGATATCAATTGTCCCTAGAATAATTTATAATTCAATGTTACCAATAAAAATCCAACTGGCAGCTAGGTGTGGTGGCTCATGCCGGTAATTCCAGCACTTTGGGAGGCCGAAGCAGGTGGATCACCTGAGGTCAGGAGTTCGAGACCAGCCTGACCAACATGGTGAAACCCCCATCTCTACTAAAAATACAAAAATTAGCCCATAGTGGTGTCTCACGCCTGTAATCCCAGCTACTTGGGAGGCCAAGGCAGGAGAATATTTTGAACCCAGGAGGCAGAGGTTGCAGTGAGCTGAGATTGCGCCATTGCACTCCAGCCTGGTTGACAAGATCGAAATTCCGTCTCAAAAAAAAAAAAAATCCAACTGTTGTTTTAGGCTTTTTTTTTTTAACGTTAAATTTATGTAAGCAAGTTTTTTTAAAAAACAGATCTTGTTAAGTGTATCTCCAAATTTGTATAGAGCAATAAAAAACAACAAATATTAAGTCTACAGTGAAAAGAAAGAGTAATGGCCGGGCACGGTGGCTCACACTTGTAATCCAGCACTTTGGAAGGCTGAGGCGGGCGGATCACTTGAGGACAGGAGTTCAAGACCAGCCTGACCAACGTGGTGAAACCCTGTCTCTACTAAAAATACAAAACAATTAGCCAGGCATGGTGGTGGGCGCCTGTAATCCCACCTACTCAGGAGGCTGAGGCAGGAGAATCGCTCGAACCCAGGAGACAGAGGTTGCAGCGAGTTGAGATCGGGCCATTGCAATCCAACCCGGGCAACAAGGGCAAAACTCTTTCTCAAAAAAAAAAAAAAAAAAAGAAAGAAAAAAAAAAGAATGAGTAACAAGAAGTCTCTTGCCCTTCTCAGAAATTTAAACTTGCTACAAAGTATCATAAAAATCAACTTGTGCAAGAACAGACAAATACATCAATGGAACAGAATACAAATTCAGAGACAGACCCTTACATCATACATTAGAATTTGATATATGATAAAAGTGGTTCACTAAAGAGAAAAGTAAATTGGATCCCTAACACCTAAAACAAGGATGAATTCTAGAGGAATCAAGAAGACTTAAATGTGAAAAGTAAAACTATAAAGTTACTGGAAGAAAATGTAGAAGAATGCATTTATGGTGCAGAGTTGGGAAAGAATATATACAAATTATCAAAAATTGCAAACCATAAGGGGAAAAAATGGTCATTTTCATTACACTTAAATTAATAATTTCTATTCTGGCCAGGAGCGGTGGCTCACACATATAATCCTAGCACTTTGGGAGGCCGAGGTGGGTGGGTCACCTGAGGTCAGGAGCTCCAGGCCAGCCTCACCAACATGGTGAAACACCGTCTCTACTAAAAATACAAAAATTAGCTGCATGTGGTAGCTCACACCTGTAATCCCAGCTACTCAGGAGGCTAAGGCAAGAAAATCACTTGAACCCGGTGGGCAGAGGTTGCAGTGAGCCGAGATTGCACCACTGTACTCCAGCCTGGGTAACAGAGCCAGACTCCATATGAAAAAAGAAAAAAAATCTATTTCATGAAGTTCATGAAGGAAAAATTAATATAGAGATGATAGAATGGGAGAAGGTATCTGCAATGCCTAAATCTGACAAAGTAACTGATCTCTCTTTTTTTTTTTTTTTTTTTTGAGATGAAGTTTCACTCTTGTTGCCCAGGCTGGAGTGCAATAGCGCGATCTCAACTCACCACAACTTCTGCCTCCCTGGTTCAAGTGATTCTCTTGCCTCAGCCTCCTGAGTAGCTGGGATTACAGGCATGCACCGCCACACCCAGCTAATTTTGTATTTTTAGTAGAGACAGGGTTTCTCCATGTTGGTCAGGCTGGTCTCGAACTCCCGACCTCAGGTGTTTGGCCGGCCTTGGCCTCCCAAAGTGGTGGGATTACAGGCGTGAGCCACTGTGCCCAGCCTGATCTCATTGTGTTTGTTTGTTTGTCTGTTTGTTTGAGATGGACCCTCACTCTGTCACCTAGGCTGGAGTGCAGTGGCATGATATCGGCTCACCTCAACCTCCGCCACCCGGGTTTATGCCATTCTCCTGCCTCAGCCTCCCGAGTAGCTGGGACTACAGGCGCCCGCCACCACGTCTGGCTAATTTTTTGTATTTTTAGTAGAGACAGGGTTTCACCGTGTTAGCCAGGATGGTCTCGATCTCCTGACCTTGTGATCCGTCCGCGTCAGTCTCCCAAAGTGCTGGGATTACAGGCGTGAGCCACCACGCCTGGCCACGAGTGGATTTTAAAAACATCGTGATTACTGAAAATAAGATCAGAGTGAAATATATAACAAGATGCTATTTATGGAAATTTAAAATGTTTGGGCCGGGCGTGGTGACTCACACCTGTAATCCCAGCACTTTGGGAGGCTGAGGTGGGCAGATCACTTGAGGTCGGGTGTTGAAGACCAGCCTGGCCAACATGGTGAAACCGTCTCTACTTAAAATACAAAAATTAGCCAGGCACAGTGGCGCAAGCCTGTAATCCCAGCCACTCCGGAGGCTGAGACAGGAGAATCACTTGAACCTGGGAAGCGGAGGCTGCAATGAGTGGAGATCGCCCCACTGCACTCCAGCCTGGGTGACAGAGCGAGACACTGTCTCATAAAAAGAAAAAAAAAAAAAACTTTGCACACAAAATGATTTATATTTTGTAAGAGCACAAAGAAAAAAATGAACATTTAATGCACTGGAATAATTGAATGCATTGGAATAAGCATTTGGGTGTGGTGAATCGAACGTGTAGTCTTAGCTACTTGGGAGGCTGAGGTGAGAGGACCGCTTGAGCCCAGGAAGTCTAGGCTGCAGTGATCGGTGACTGTGCCTCTCACTCGAGCCTGAGCAACAGAGACCTCAACTCAAAACCAGTAAAATCGCCGGGCATGGTGGCTCACGCCAGTAATCCCAGCACTTTGGGAGGCCGAGGCAGGTGGATCACCTGAGGTCGGGAATTGGAGACAAACCTGACCAACATGGTGAAATCCCCCATCTCTACTAAAAATACAAAATTAGCTGGGCCCGGTGGCGCATGCCTATAATCTCAGCTACTCGGGAGGCTGAGGCGGGAGAATGGCTTGAACCCGGAAGATGGAGGTTGCAGTGAGCCAAGGTTGTGCCATTGCACTCCAGCCTGGGTAACAAGAGCGAAACTCTGTCTCAAAACAAACAAAAACAAAAATAAAAATGAGACATAGATCAGTGAAGACAGTGTGCTAATAACTGTCATTCGTTCAATCTTCTGTGCTGGAACTCAGGGATCAAGGTCCCCAGAAGCCGGAAACAAAGTGAACCTGTGGAGCAGGAACTGGGTGAGGAAGCTTTCTTTGAAGGATGAAGAGGAGTCCTTTGGAATTCCGGATTTTTTTTTTTCTTCTTGAGACGGAGTCACTCTGTCGCCAGGCTGGAGTGCAAGGGCACGATCTTGGCTCACTACAACCTCCACCTCCTGGGTTCAAGCCATTTTCCTGCCTCAGCCTCCCGAGTAGCTGGGATTACAGGTGTGCATAACCACGCCCGGCTAATTTTTGTATCTTTAGCAGACATGGGGTTTCTCTATGTTGGCCAGGCTGGTTTCAAACTCCTGACCTCAGTCGATCCACCTGCCTTGGCCTCCTAAAGTGCTGGGATTACAGGCATGAGCCACCAGGCCGGGCCGGCATTCCAGATTTTTCAGGGGATTAGTGCAGCAAAGGAATCAAGAAGGGATGTAAAGGCACAGTGTGTTCTGGGTACAATAAGGACTTAGGCATTGCCCAGAACAGGAGGCGAAGGAGATAGAAGGAGAGGCAGGAGAGATAGGTAAGGCCAGAGATCGGATAAGAGAGGCAGGAGGTTTTGTTCACTCTGAAAAGGGATTTGAACTTGGCAATTGGGGCAACAGAGACAGTGACTTCTTGCTTGAGAGATGAGATTGGACCTTCGAAAATTGTTCTCTGCCCTCGTCATAAAGGAAATAAGAGGAGCACGAAGACCAGTGAGGGTGATGGTGATCTGGACTGAAGTGGCAGCCGCCACGGAGAATATCGGATGAATGTGAGAGAGTTTTGGAGGTCAAAGCACCAATGTTGGAAACTAACTGGATAAACGAGGAGAGCGGCGCAGGACAGGAGGAATCGAGCCTGACTTCTACCATAGGGGTGACTGGGCGGGTAATTCATTGAAATAAGGAAGTTAGGAGGAGGAGCAGGTTTGGACATGCTGATCACTAGAGCTGCCACATCCGGGCGGTAACGAACACCTGGATCTGCAGCTCCAGAGAAGGGCCTGGGTCAGATGTCACTGAAGCCCTATGGTGGCGGAAAGGCGAGAAATAGTGGGTTGAGATTCCAAGTGCAATCCACTGCGGCTCCTCGCTCGCCCTCCAGGTGGCAGCACAACCCTGCGCTTCCGAAGCCCGTTTTCTGAGCCAGACACTCTCCACGCTCTGGGTATTTCGGCTTCTCTCTCCCCACACGCCGACCCTAGGTCGCGCACTTTCTGCCTGGCAGAATTTGGCCGAGGATCCAAACCCGGAGCAGCCTCCAGAGAGCGTGTCGTTCACGCGGCCAGCATATGCTCAGAGACCTCAGAGGCTCAGAGACCTCAGGGCTGGTGGTGTGGTCGGTTGTGACCACTTGTCCCTCGGACCGGCTCCAGGAACCAACCTGGGGAATGTGTGTAGGGGAAGGGCGGGATAGACAGTGCCCGGAGCAGGGAGGCGCTGAAAGACAGGACCAAGCAGCCCGGCCACCAGACCCGTTGTGGGAACGGAATTTCCTGGCCCCCAGGGCCACACTCGCGTGGGAAGCATGTCGCGGACTCTTTAAGGCGTCATCTCCCTGTCTCTCCGCCCCCGCCTGGGACAGGCCGGGACGCCCGGGACCTGACATTTGGAGGCTCCCAACGTGGGAGCTAAAAATAGCAGCCCCGGGTTACTTTGGGGCATTGCTCCTCTCCCAACCCGCGCGCCGGCTCGCGAGCCGTCTCAGGCCGCTGGAGTTTCCCCGGGGCAAGTACACCTGGCCCGTCCTCTCCTCTCAGACCCCACTGTCCAGACCCGCAGAGTTTAAGATGCTTCTGCAGCCCGGGATCCTAGCTGGTGGGCGGAGTCCTAACACGTGGGTGGGCGGGGCCTTTTGTTCCAGGGACTCTTTTCTCAAAACTTCCCAGTCGGAGGCTGGCGGGAACCCGAGAGGCGTGTCTCGCCAGCCACGCGGAGGGGCGTGGCCTCATTGGCCCGCCCCACCAACTCCAGCCAAACTCTAAACCCCAGGCGGAGGGGGCGTGGCCTTCTGGGGTGTGCGGGCTCCTGGCCAATGGGTGCTGTGAAGGGCGTGGCCCGCGGGGGCAGGAGCGAGGTGGCGGGGGCTTCTCGCGTCTTTTCCCCCAGCCCCGCTCCACCAGATCCGCGGGAGCCCCACTGCTCTCCGGGTCCTTGGCTTGTGGCTGTGGGTCCCATCGGGCCCGCCCTCGCACGTCACTCCGGGACCCCCGCGGCCTCCGCAGGTTCTGCGCTCCAGGCCGGAGTCAGAGACTCCAGGATCGGTTCTTTCATCTTCGCCGCCCCTGCGCGTCCAGCTCTTCTAAGACGAGATGCCGTCGGGCTTCCAACAGATAGGCTCCGAAGTAGGATTCATCATGAGGGGGCGGGGCGGGGGGGCACGGGTCCCGCTTTTCTTGGGCTGGGGTCGCGGTTGGGGTCAGCTGGGGGTGGTTCCTGCGCAGGCGCAGGGGGTGAAGGTAGGGGGCTGGCTATTTATACCCGGCCTGGACAACCCGTGACTGTGAGATTCCAATCCTACCAAAAGGCAGAGTGGGTCTGGAGGGCCTTTCGGGGCACAGGCAGCAAGTGGATTCTGCGAGCCAGGGTTCACCCCCTTGCCTAGTAGGCGGCGCGGCGCTCCGGAATCGGGGACACCCTGCCCTCGATCCGACTCGGGAAAGCAGATCCAGGCGGGTCTTGCCCTCCGGGAGCTGTCCGTCCGTCTTCGCTCACGGGCAGTGTTTCGAGGACCGGAGGCTCTCCGTGGGCCCCCACCCCCACTCCTGGCCGCCCTCCAGGACGCTGAACTTTCCCTTGGCCCCATGGTTGGTGGAGGGGCAGAGGGGACTGTCAGCCCCCCCTCCTCCAGCTCAGGTTTCCGCTTGGAGACAGTCTGTGCCGCCAGCGAGCGGCCACCACTGCCACCGCCCCTCACACTACCTTCCTGCCCTCCTCCCCTGGGCATGGCTCTCCCAGGCAGAACCCCTGGACGGCCCTCCCTGCACGGAGGTTAGAGGGGGAGGGCAGGCCACGACGTAGATAGAGAAGGCCACCCCTAGATGACCGGGATGTCCTTTCTGGAACAGCACTTCTTGGTCCTGTTGGGGGCCTCCTGGAGCTGGCTGACAGAACCCCCAGAGGGGAGGGAAGAGGACAGTGGCTGATGATAATAATGCACGTGTTAATTTATGAAACCAGCACTGTCAAGGATATTGTTAACATGTGATGTTGATTTTCACAACACTCTCACAGATAGGTAGGCAAGGCAGGCAACATCACCCCCATCTCACAGAGGACACTCAGGTTCGGGGCAGGGAAGTGACTTGGCCAAGGTCACACAAATCTGAGCTCTTAAGGCCAAGCCTGTCTCAAGGTCACAGAAGAATTTTGAGACAAGTTCTCAAACATTTCTCTGCCTTATGGACCCAAACATCCAGTTTCTCCTTTATGCCCAGGTTGCAGTTCAGCTCCTGTTTACATTGAGATCTTTGTGCAATTCCTAATATGGCCCAGTTTCCCTCACCCAACATGTTGGGTGGAGCCCAGTATCTTCAGGCTCCAGCTGGGCCCGGGCCCCTAGCGGAAGGAAAAAAATCATGGTTCCATGTGACATGCTGTGTCTTTGTGTCTGCCTGTTCAGGATGGGGAACCCCCTCAGCAGCGAGTGACTGGGACCCTGGTCCTTGCTGTGTTCTCTGCGGTGCTTGGCTCCCTGCAGTTTGGGTACAACATTGGGGTCATCAATGCCCCTCAGAAGGTGAGGGCCTGCAGCTGGCAGGGTGGGGGTACCCAAACGAGGAGGACAGGTGTCTCGGGGGTGGTGGAAAGGGGACGGTCTGCAGGAAATCTGTCCTCTGCTGTCCCCCAGGTGATTGAACAGAGCTACAATGAGACGTGGCTGGGGAGGCAGGGGCCTGAGGGACCCAGCTCCATCCCTCCAGGCACCCTCACCACCCTCTGGGCCCTCTCCGTGGCCATCTTTTCCGTGGGCGGCATGATTTCCTCCTTCCTCATTGGTATCATCTCTCAGTGGCTTGGAAGGTTCGCAGCTGGAGGGCAGGGGTGGGGGAAACAGGAAGGGAGCCACTGCTGGGTGCCCTCACCCTCACAGCCTCACTCTGTCTGCCTGCCAGGAAAAGGGCCATGCTGGTCAACAATGTCCTGGCGGTGCTGGGGGGCAGCCTCATGGGCCTGGCCAATGCTGCTGCCTCCTATGAAATGCTCATCCTTGGACGATTCCTCATTGGCGCCTACTCAGGTACTCACGGGCACCACAGCCCTGCCTAGCGCCCTGTTCTCTTTCACCATGCCTGGGCTTTCAGATGGGAATGGACACCTGCCCTCAGCCCTCTCTTCTTCCCTCGCCCAGGGCTGACATCAGGGCTGGTGCCCATGTACGTGGGGGAGATTGCTCCCACTCACCTGCGGGGCGCCCTGGGGACGCTCAACCAACTGGCCATTGTTATCGGCATTCTGATCGCCCAGGTGACCGGAGCAAGCCTCATGGGTGCCTGGGCAGTGGTTAGAGTGGGGCTCTGGAGAATATGGTGGGCTTCCAAGGTAAGGCAGAAGGGCTGAGTGACCTGCCTTCTTTCCCAACCTTCTCCCACAGGTGCTGGGCTTGGAGTCCCTCCTGGGCACTGCCAGCCTGTGGCCACTGCTCCTGGGCCTCACAGTGCTACCTGCCCTCCTGCAGCTGGTCCTGCTGCCCTTCTGTCCCGAGAGCCCCCGCTACCTCTACATCATCCAGAATCTCGAGGGGCCTGCCAGAAAGAGTAAGCTCTCCCGCTGCAGCCTGGCCCAGGCCCATGCCTCCGCCTCATCTTGCTAGCACCTGGCTTCCTCTCAGGTCCCCTCAGGCCTGACCTTCCCTTCTCCAGGTCTGAAGCGCCTGACAGGCTGGGCCGATGTTTCTGGAGTGCTGGCTGAGCTGAAGGATGAGAAGCGGAAGCTGGAGCGTGAGCGGCCACTGTCCCTGCTCCAGCTCCTGGGCAGCCGTACCCACCGGCAGCCCCTGATCATTGCGGTCGTGCTGCAGCTGAGCCAGCAGCTCTCTGGCATCAATGCTGTATGTGTGGAGCAGCCTCCAGGCAGGGCACAGCCCCGGGAGGGTAGACGAGAGTGGGGAGCAAACCCCCTCCACCAACACCCAGGGTAGGGCCAGCCTGTTGTGGCTGGAGTAGAGGAAGGGGCATTCCTGCCATCACTTCTTCTTCTCCCCCACCTCTAGGTTTTCTATTATTCGACCAGCATCTTCGAGACAGCAGGGGTAGGCCAGCCTGCCTATGCCACCATAGGAGCTGGTGTGGTCAACACAGTCTTCACCTTGGTCTCGGTAACTGCTCACCTCTGGAATGGCCCGAGCCACTGGCTTCACCTCCCTGGGTGTCCCGGAGGTCCTGCTCTTGGTTGCCCTCACCCACGCGGCCCCTCCTACTTCCCGTGCCCAAAAGGCTGGGGTCAAGCTCCGACTCTCCCCGCAGGTGTTGTTGGTGGAGCGGGCGGGGCGCCGGACGCTCCATCTCCTGGGCCTGGCGGGCATGTGTGGCTGTGCCATCCTGATGACTGTGGCTCTGCTCCTGCTGGTAAGGCCTGGAGGCTAGGAGGGGCTAGCAGCCCACCCCATGGGAATGGTCCTGTGAGTCTCTGTGACCAGCCAGGGTCCCTTCTTAACACACATGCTTTCAATCCTGGCGCCAGCTCCGGACCAGGACTGGGGCTGACTGGCTCCAGAATCTGCTGGGATTGTGGTCTGCTCCTGAGGGATTTGGGCTGCACTGGGAGGCAGCTGTGGCACAACTCTGGCAGCCAGGAGGGAGAGCCCCTGTCAAGCCTCAGGAACAATCATTCCTAAGGACCCAGCTTTAGAGTCCAGGGAGAGCTGACCGTCATAAGAACTGAGAGGCCATAACATTTCCTCTGCCTTGAACCCACTTGGGATAGCCAGCAGAATGCCAGTCAAGGGCCTGCTCTAACCCGGGACAGCAGGCCCCCTACAAGCTGCTGCGGAGGGGGTTAGGTTTCACTTCTCTGAGTTGAGGGCAAGGGAAGATCAGAAAGGCCTCAACTGGATTCTCCACCCTCCCTGTCTGGCCCCTAGGAGCGAGTTCCAGCCATGAGCTACGTCTCCATTGTGGCCATCTTTGGCTTCGTGGCATTTTTTGAGATTGGCCCTGGCCCCATTCCTTGGTTCATCGTGGCCGAGCTCTTCAGCCAGGGACCCCGCCCGGCAGCCATGGCTGTGGCTGGTTTCTCCAACTGGACGAGCAACTTCATCATTGGCATGGGTTTCCAGTATGTTGCGGTAGGTCCCCCCGCCCCAGCCTCCCACACCGTAGGCCAGAGGTGGGCATCACACAGCTAGCCCACCTGCTTCCCCGTCAGGGACTCCTCCAGCCACAGACCATGGGTCTTTGGGTCAGTTTGGTGGACCACCTGCTCCACAGAATCAAAGCAAGGAAGGGAGCTGACCTAGATTGGATAGTAACTGAGGTGTCTGAAACGCACCAGTGGCATAACTTACCTTACTCCAAGAATAAAATGATACACTTTGCATTAATACTACAAACAGCTGGGACTCTCCTCTGAGTGCAGTAACTGAGGATGGTGAAGAGGGCGAAAACTAAGAGTGTTTGGGGTTCAGAGAATCCTCTTTTCAGTGTAAATTCTCATTCCTGCTCATTTCCCTTGTCCCTGGAGGAGGCAGCTGCTGTCTGCCGTCCCCCCAGCTCCCTATGAAGGCCTTTAGCTCCTGGTTGCCTGAAACTACCCCTTCCCTCCCCACCTCACTCCGTCAACACCTCTTTCTCCACCTGTCCCAGGAGGCTATGGGGCCCTACGTCTTCCTTCTATTTGCGGTCCTCCTGCTGGGCTTCTTCATCTTCACCTTCTTAAGAGTACCTGAAACTCGAGGCCGGACGTTTGACCAGATCTCAGCTGCCTTCCACCGGACACCCTCTCTTTTAGAGCAGGAGGTGAAACCCAGCACAGAACTTGAGTATTTAGGGCCAGATGAGAACGACTGAGGGGCCAGGCAGGGGTGGGAGAGCCAGCTCTCTCTACCCGGCCCAGAGACCCCTTCCTTTCCTCTGCAGCACTTTAACCCTCTCTTCCCTATTATTTCCGGGTGGAAAAGAATCCCTGCAGCCTGGTAGAATTGGGAAGCTGGGGGAAGGGTGGTCTGAGCACCCCCTCATTCCCCTCGTGTGACTCTCTTGGATTATTTATGTGTTGTGGTTTGGCCGTGGCCATCAGGGTGGGCCACTCTCCCCTCCCTCTTCCTTCCCCCATCCCCTTTCCTCCCCACCTTCCCCAGACTCAGCTCCAGAATACCTTCTTCGCTGCTAGAGAAGGGGGATTGGAGGGAAGACAGGTCTAGACTTTCTCAGTGGGACAAACCAGAGCAGAGAGCAGGACAGGAGACAAGAAATCCAGTTTCCCACCACCTTGGACTCCTCCCACAATCTGGGACTTTCACTGAATTCTTGCCACGCAGACTCTGGGCAAAGGGGTTTTTTTTTTTTTTTTTTTTTTTTTTTTTGAGACAGTCTCGCTCTGTCGCCCAGGCTCGAGTGCAGTGGCGTGATCTTGCTTCACTGCAAGCTGTCTCCCAGGTTCACGCCATTCTCCTGCCTCAGCCTCCGGAGTAGCTGGGACTACAGGCGCATGCCACCACACCTGGCTAATTTATTTTGTATTTTTAGTATATACGCGGTTTCACCATGTTAGCCAGAATGGTCTCGATCTCCTGACCTCGTGATCTGCCTGCCTCAGCCTCCCAAAGTGCTGGGATTACAGGCGTGAGCCACCGCGCCTGGCGAAGGGAGTTCTCTCTTGACCCCTGCAGGGAAAAGGACTCACCTCCCTCACTGCAGGCTCAGCCTTCCAGGGCAAGAGGGAACAGGAAAGTATGTGCCCATGTGTGGCAAGATGGAAGGACGGCAGGCTCCCGCCTCTAGGCTTGGGGCTCTACCCCGATGGTTTCCCAAGGCTGCCAAGAAGGAGCCCTAACTTTCTTCCTCTCCCTTCCTGGAAGGGTGCTGCATCCACAGGCTTTTGACCAACTAAGGCAAAGAGGGGATTTGAAAGGCTGCCTGGAAACACTGGGCTGGGAGGAGCCTTTGGATATTTTTATATACGTTTGAAAAGGGGATTGAGAGAAGAAACCAAAGGTCGGTTGTACTAAATGTATATATATAGATACTTCTATAAAGTCACTGCTGAAGACAAGCATCCTATTGTGGAGGTACTTGAGGATGGGCTGAGACAGGGACCATAACTCTTCACCCCTCTTCCTCCCTCTGTCCTGCCTCAGCTCAAGGCCTCAGAATCTTCTGGATGCCATTGCTCATGCCCCTACTCACATTTCTACTCGTTGCTTTATTAATAGTAAATGCTCAATAAATTGTAGCTGCCAGTGCCGGGCATTGCTCTTGGCATTTGCAGAATACTCACTCTGTGAGGGAGGTGTCAGCCCATGTCACAGATGGGCAGTGAAACCCATGATAGGGGCACTCTTCACCAGGGACACAGCTGGAGACATGGCAGCAAGGATGCCAGGCCCTGCCCACGGCCCCACATCCCCTCCTCCCCACCTTCAACAGTGAGTTACTAGCGATTCTCCAAAACAGAAGAGATGGAGACCAAGACCACAGGAAAGCCTGTTTTTGTTTTTACTGGAGGCTCAGGTGGCACATGACAGATCATAAAATGGCTTCAGAGGTAGGGGGCCGGGGGAAAACAAAAATAAACTTGGGGTGGGGGCAAGAAAAGCAACCAGGAGGAGGTAAGAGCTGGCTGGTTCCTTCTCAGCCTGAGTTACGGGAGGGAGTTGCTGTCTCTGAACAGTAAGGATGGCTCCCTTCCTTCAACCCTTGATAAGGGGAGGGAAGAAAAAAGAAAAAGCAAAAGGCTGCTGCTTTGGTCCTCCTGAGTCTCAAGGAAAAGGTGAAAAGCTGGTGTTTTGATGTCATGAATTATGGGAAAGGGGGAGCAGGGTACTGGGTAGGGTACAGGTCATTTGGAAAAACTGGCAGATACCTGAGAGAGAAAAGGAAATGGACGGATTGTGAACAACAGCGACTTGTCATCGCCACCCAGTACCTCACCTTCCTGGCCACCCACCCAACTGCACCAGCCACTCACCAGATGGCAGCTCTGGGTGTCCTCTGAGTTGAGTTGGAATCACTCCAGGATGGTGGTGGTGGGGTCCCCACTGTTGACAGGGGCTGAGGTCTAAAGAACAGCGGTGGCCAATTGAGACTTGTTCTTTTTGTTTTTGAGACAGAGTCTCACTCCAGGTTGGATGGAGTACAGTGGCGTGATCTTGGCTCACTGCAAACTCCCCCTCCCAGTTCAAGTGATTCTCCTGCCTTAGCCTCCCAAGTAGCTGGGATTACAGGCATGTGCTACCACGCCTGGCTAATTTTTGTATCTTTAGTAGAGACGGGGTTTCTCCATGTTGGTCAGGCTGGTCTTGAACTCCTGACCCCAACTGATCTGCCTGCTTCTGCCTCCCAAAGTGCTGGGATTACAGGCATGAGACATCGCGCAGGGCTGAGACTTGTTCTTCAGGGCCCTGAACTTCAACCTTCTTTCACTTTTTCCCTTCCCATTAAAACCTCAATCACACCCCTCAGTTCACATCTACAAGCTGGTAGGATGGCTCCAGGCAGCAAGTGGGGGATGGGTTGGGGGGGGCATGGCCATCATGGGCAATCATGGGCTTGATTGCCTCTGTGGGGGCTTCCTGGTGGGAGGCGGCACCTGCCAGGGGGGGACCCAGCAGGCTGCATGGAAGAGGGTGGTGGCAGGGCCAGGGCAGGGGAGGGGAGGAGCCAAAGGATAGAGTAGGAAAGAAAAAGGAGCAGGTGGGGGAGGGAGCTGGTCTCAGCCTTTTCTTTCATCCCACATCTGAGGTCCTCACCTCAGGGGCTGCGGGCTGCCGGGGGCCAGGGGCCTGCTGGGGGCCAGGGGCCTGCTGCCGTCTCCGCTGGAAGTAGGGGCGGTTTCGTGGGCGCTGGGGCTCAGGCCGGGAACCATCAGCGGGACCTTGGCTGGGCTTGGTCTCACCATCCCCACCTTCTGTGGTAGGCTGCTGGCGTGGCCTGGGGCGGAAAGGCCTAAGGCAAGGAACAAGGCTCTGAGGGGACCAGGGAATACTCCCTCCCCAGGGCTCACCCAGCTGCCCCACCCCACCTCCAGGAGCCAGGCTTCCAGCCCATGAGCACTGCCTCCCCGCAAGGCACCTGTCTCGCCAGGAGCCCAGGCTCTGCCTAGAGCTTCACCCTTCCATCCTCCTGTCCCTTGCCCCAAGGATCCAACACTGGAAGGGGAAGACCAAGCCCCAGCAGGGGGGTCTTACCTTCGGTACCTGGGCCGGAATCTGGGCGGGGGGACTCGCTCATCTCCCTGCTGTTGGTGCCCCTCCAATGGGGCTGTCTCTTTGGGTTCTACCCTGTCAGTGCCCTGGGAACATGCAAAGGCCCCGGTGAGCTGTGGGGACAGCAGCTGCTCTGGAGCCAGATTATCCACAGCTCTGCCCAACCCTCAGTTCCTCCTTCTTTGGGGACCCATGGTCTCTATCCTAACTCCCACTCCTCTCCTGAACTTGGGGAACTGGCTCCCATATTCCAGCATCCCCTCACCTCTATAGGCTGCTGCTGGTTGGGAGGCCGGGGGCCTCGCACAAACCGCCGTCGGTAGAAGAAGGGTGGGGGGCACCATCGTCGGGGCCGTTGCCCAGAGTCTTCAGCCCGCTCCCCTTTACTGCCAGGTCCTGTCCCCGCCGAGGGGATCTCTGCCACCATGGGTGGTGGGGCAACTGAGGGAGGCCGGGGGATGAATCGGCGGGACTTACGTCGGTTGGGGGCATAACGGCTGCCCTTCACGGGTACTCCCCCAGGCCCAGTTACATTAGTGGCTTCTGCGCCCTGGGAAGGTGGTAAGGGAATAGTGAGAACCTGCTCCAACAGCCAATGTGCATTTCCCAACTTGCTTCCCCTTCTTTCAGGGGAAGACCCCTCTCCAGCTTTCCTTTAGCTCCTCTAACTTCTTTCTACCCTCCCTGGAGAGGCAGTGGAATGTGCTTGCACCCATTTGGGAAGGAGCAACATGTCCTTTTGAAATAATTGCTACTGCACCCTCCTGAGTATACGACTGGGTGGAGAAAGGCCTGGCAGCCAGCATCCACCTTTTTACTCCAGAGGCGGACTCGGGAAGTCTAGGACAGGGCCCCACGTGGAGAACGGATGTCGAAGTGCTTGGTGAACTAGAGAAGAAACCCAGACACTGCCGACCGATGACAGGGACATACTTAGGACATCCCTTAGCCCTAGCATTAAGGAAGAGGACATCAGGGTGAGAGAACACAGTCCCATTCCCGCAGAACGGGTCAGAGCTGGCCCCAGGAGGGTCTTAGCCTGTGATGACCTCCAGGCCACCCTCCCGTAAGCCTAGTCAACTCTATACCCCATAGCAGTCCCCAAACCTTCTCTCCTTCCACGACATCAAATTCCACAGTCTCCCCATCTCCAACGCTGCGCAGAAACTTCCTGGGGTTGTTTCTTTTAATAGCTGTCTGATTGGGGAAAAGGCCATGTGAAAAGTGAGACAGCAAGACAGGAGTCTCTGTCACCCCTGCTGGGGCCACCACCCAATTTCATTCTTTCAACATTTGACTTGGGGTCTAGAGCTGGAGGGTGGAGCAAGGAGGTGGTCAAAGTTTAGCAGGGGAAAAGTCCTGAACTCAGGGCCTCAGCAGATTGTGCAGTTACCACCATCCCCAGGATGCACTCCCCGCACCTCCCCTCCCGCCCCGCTTTACCCCTCAGGGATTTCAGAAAGGGAGGCAAGAAATATGAACTCCAAAGCAAAAGGCAGGGACAGCCTTCAGTCGCAAAGTGGGTAGAATGCACTGTGCTTCTTACCTCAGTCCCAGTGAGAGCTCTTTCCACCAAGCAGTGGTTCTCAAGCTGTAGCGTGCATCAGAATCACCTGGAGAGCTCGTTAAACCGATTGTGGAGCCCCAGCCCCAGCTCTGATTGATTCACCAGGTCTGGGGTGGGACCTGAGAATTCGGATGTCAGGTGATGCTGCTGCCGCTGGTGCAGGGGCCACGCTTTGAGAACCACTGCACCCAAGGACCTTCTCCCTCTGAAAACTGCCTCAGTGCTTCCTGGAGTGTTAACAGGTCCCGGTGGGTAGTAAGCGTGCCATGCCCAGGGGTAACATGCTCAATTCTGACGGACGTTTAGTAACCCAGCACAAGTGCGGCTAATGGTGGTTGACACAGGCACCCAAGGCGGATGGGCCGTTGTGAAGAAGAGCCAGAGAAACATGGCGGAGCGCACTGCTAAGGATTACAGCAAAGGCCTTCAAAGACGGCCGGTTCTTCCCCTCAGAAAGCTAACCTAGCTCTTACCTGGTGAACAAAGACATCTTCCTTGGTGTCATTCCTGCAGAACAGGATGGGTCGTTAAGGAAGGGACTTCAACAAAGCCCTCAGCTCCTCACTGAGGTCCCCCTAGATGCCCAGTCTAAGCTCAGTGGGCCCATCCTCTCCAGCATTCCAGTTAGGGGTGGACATGGCCTGGGGAATGGGAGGGAGAGCCAGCAGGGCCCCCAGAAGCTGGTGTAAAGAGAGATACACCTAAAACCTCAGTGCCAAACCTGGACTTCACAAGGAAAGGGCAGGCTGGGGAGGCAAAGGCACCTTGAGGAACCTCAGACAGCTCTGCCCCTGCCGGGACTCCACCTTCCACCCCAGGCTAGCCTTACAACCTGCCAGCGCTGGGTGCAACTGTCCCTGGCCAACACCCCCTCCCCCAACCCCCATCAGGGTTGGAAAATTCCAGTCTTCTTCCTTCTATAGTCAAGGAGGCAGAAAGTGCAGATGGGGCCAGAGGGGCAGAACAAGTTTGAGAAGGGAACAATGTGTCAGGAACTTGCTCTAAACAGCTGCCAAACTTTATTCTCATCCTCAGCCTGGAGGTGAATCCCAGAGTCAGGACCACTCTCAACACGCGTGGGACCAAGGGTGAGAGAGAAGAAAACATTCACCCATTCTCTATCATAAGAACCCCAGTGGGTGGGGGGAGGGGAGAAAGGAAAAGTTTTCCTGGAGGCACTCTGCCCCCGACCCAGTCTGCCATTTCCAGAATTAGACAGGGACCCTTCCCCAGAACAAACGTTTTAGCTTTAAAGCACTTGGATCTGCACAAAGGTCAGCCTGCTAAGAGGGAACTAGGGCCTCCCAGGAGAGCCAGGCCGGGCAGGATGCCTGGGCTGGGGAAGGGCCCACTGGGGGAGACCTGGCTCTGCTCAGAATCCACTGCCACAGCCTCTCCCGGTGCTGAGGGGTGGGGCTGCCTACTGAAGGAAAGCAGCAGCCTCTGGCTCCTTCCTCCTGACCCCCACTGTCAGCCTCAGTCCCAACAGGTGGAGGGCTCGAATGAGCCACAGCTCTTTAAGGGAGTTGAGTTGTGAGTGCTGCCATAACAGGAAATCAGTTGAGGATTCCAGCCGGGGGCCCTGAGGCACAGAGAACCCTATAATACATTCTGCCCCAAAGGCATGTCAGAGTAAAAGTAATGAAGCAATTCCAGAAGGTGAGATGAGAAGCTGGCAGGGTCAGAGCCAGGTTTGCCAAGTTCCTGAATCATTAATCCTCCGCTACCCTTGAAGATGCGGAGGAGGCTTCCTCTTGTCACGAAGCACACATTTGTGCTGCGGTTAAAGGCTTTCAACCAGCATCAGCTGGACATTGCAACCATGTGCCTCCGCAGGGGTCGATGAGGTTGGGCGGGTGTCCAGTCCCACAGGCCAGCTGGGAAGACACCCATTCCACCCCCGCCCTGGGTTCCTTGGATACCTGTTGATGAATCCGTAACCATTCCGGACGTTGAACCATTTGACAGTGCCCAGGACTTGGATTGCTGCCAGGCAGAGATGCAGTGGGGACAGTGAGATGGGGGGAAGAGATGGAGTTGAACTCAGTTTTGAGACACTCCAAAACAAAAAAAAATCTAGCCTACTGCCTTATTACCTATTCAGGTTACCTTCAAGCCAACCAGGTTTCACTAGTAGCTTCAAGGTATTCCTACCCTAGTCCACCAAATGAAATCACCCACACAGGGACTCAGGCTTTCAAAAAGCCTTCCAACTCTAAGTCACGTTCCCCACATCCTACAAATCCAGCCCCTTCACCTAGAACTGGGTACTCACCTGGTCTGCAAAGTGCCGCCCCCAGGTCATAACTGAGGGTTTTTCTAGCCCTCCCAATGCAAGGGTCCCCAGTGCACCTGCTTGCCAGGCTCAGAGGTTTGCCTAGTTCTAACCCAGTCAACTAGGCACTGTGTCCCGCCCGGGGGCGTGGCCGGACCCTGGGGCTTTATTCTCCACCCCAAGACCTTAGCTGAACCTGCCGGCCCCGCCCTCTCTCCCAGGAAGGTACGGCAGGATTTCCCACCAGGGGAATCCACTTTGGTGCGCAGCTCCCAGCCCAGTTAGCGCTCTGGGCCTGCGGGCCAGGCCGCCTTTGGTTTTCCGGATCCTGCCGGGCTCCACACTGCCCCTCCCCCAGCCCGCCGACCCCTCAGAGCCGCCCTGTGCGCGCCTGCCCCTCACCCAGCACCGGCTTGTCCGCCTGACTCCGGGCCGGGGGGGCGGGGGTTCCCGAGACCGCCGTCGCCGGATTGCCAGGGGTGCGGGAGCCCGGCGCCGAGGGGGTCCCAGCAGCGGGGCCCGAGGCGGCTCCGCCCCCGCCGCCCGCCCCGCCGCCTTTCTGCGGCTCCCCTGCGGGCACCGGTACCACCACCGCTACCACCCCTGCCGCCGTCGCGGGCACCGTCGCCGCGGGGACCGCTGTAGCCCCCGCTGCCGCCTCCACCTCGCTCATCCCGCCGGGTCCAGTACCGGCCACAGCCGCCACCGCCCCGGCCCCTCCCCCCGGCTCGCGAACCCACCGCCCTGCTCGGTCCTCGCGCCCCGAGCCTCGCCCACACGCCGGCAGCGGGCCCGGAGCCGAGGCCAATGGCAGCCCGCTGCCGCCGCTCGCGCAGACCCCGCCTCCCGACCACGGGCCAATCCCAGCCCAGCAGCACCCCCGGACCGCACGCCGACCCCGCCTCCCGGACTTCGCACCGCGGCCCCGGCCCCCGCCAGCCGCCCAGTAAGTACACCTGGGCCCCGCCCCCTGGCCGCCACGTGACGGCCCCCGGCCCAACCCATTGGCCGGCGGCCCCTTTCCCCTCCCCCCTCCGCCCCTTTCCACCGGCCGCGGGAAATCAAACGGGCCGGTCGCGCCCCAACCGCCACCTGGCCTCTGCGGGAAGGGCGGGGCCGGGGCCGCAGTGCCAAGGTTGCCCCTAACGACCTGAGCGAGGGGCGGGAATCTGCAGCCTCGGTTCTGGCAGTGAGTAGCACCGCTCGCCTCCACCCTCGAGACCGACCTTGCCCGTATGCTGCCAGGTGCAGACGCCTTCCGGCCACCACCGCCCTTGGCACCCTCTCCCCACAGGACGGCCCTGCACACCCTGGGGCTGCGGGATCCAACCGCAGGATAGGCTGGAAAGCGCAGCAGAATGGTTTTCCCGGCTCACACTTGCTCCCATGAGCCAGGACCCCCTACTTTTCTTTTTTCTTTCTTTTTCTTTTCTTTTCTTTTTTTTTTTTTTTTTGAGACAGGGTCTCGCCCTGTCGCCCAGACTAGAGTGCAGTGGCGCGATCTCGGCTCGCTACAACCTCCGCCTCCCTGGTTCAAGCGATTCTCCTGCCTTGAGCCACCTCAAGGTGGCTCCCGGCCTGCCCCTACCTATGTTTGTATTGGAAACAAGGTTTACAAGTAGTACAATGCGCAATTCTTCTTCGCTGAGTTTGTTTGTTTGTTTGTTTTGACACAAGGTCTCCCTCTGTCGCCCGGGCTGGAGCGCAGTGCGCGATCTGGGCTCACTGCAGCCTCTGCCTCCCGGGTTCAAGCGATTCTCCCTCCTCAGCCTCCTGAGTACCTGGAATTACAGGCTTGCGCCACCACAACCTGGCTAATTTCTGTATTTTTAGTAGAGATGGGGTTTCACCATATTGGCCAGGCTGGTCTCGAACTCCTGACCTCTGGTGATCCGCCCGCCTCAGCCTCCCAAAGTGTTGGGATGACAGGGTAAGCCACCGTGCCCGGCCTTCGCTGAGTTTTGATCAATGTGTCCACCCATGTGGCCCATACCGACCGCTGCAGCTCTGATGTCTACCGCCCTAGACTGGCTTTGGGGTCTCTCACGTCTGTATGCCGGGGGCTGTGGTCTCCGGCCAGGCGTCAAGCTCCAGCGGACTCGAGGCCTTTTGCACATGCGGTTTCCTCTGCCGAAAACGCGCCTTCGTGTCTCCAGGTGGCTCTCTCCAAGCAGCAGCTTACGTGCCACTCTTCGCCATCACACCATTCCTTATTTTTCTAATGGCATTTTTGAAAATATGACATGATCCTGACCATTTGCTTATTTTATTTCCCTGCACACAGTGGGCTGTAAACTCCACAGCAGTAAGAGCCTTGTAGTTAAGCTGGACGCCTGCAGCAGTGCCTGGTACAACGTACACGTTCAATATTTATCGAATACATGAACGGCCCCCATTCCACAGATGAGAGGACTGAGGGGCAGTGCGAGGCTTGTACCAGGTTTCTCGGGAGCCTGGGAAGATTAAGAAAATGGGCCGGGCGCGGTGGCTCACGCCTGTAATCCCAGAAAAACGAGGCTCCAGCAGTATCTCCTCCCTAGGGCCGCCTCCCCCACCAGGGAGGACGCGGGTGCGCGTTGTATTTTTAGCCAGGGCAGCGCGCCCCGGGGCAGCACACGTGCCCCCAGGCGCTGCTGGGCAAGCCCCACGTGCGCTTCCCAAGGGCTGGCGTCCTCCGCGTCTCCTTCGCCGCCAGCTGCCCGCAGCAGCCGCAGTCGCCTCTCCCGGTCCCGGCGCGCCCTCTGCCGGCCGCTCCCGGAGGCCGCCGGATTCCGCTTCCTCGCTGACCCTCCACTTGCTATCTATCGCCCGCCGCACCCCTCCGGCCCTTTCAGAGTTGAAGATTCGGATTTCCGGGGCATCGGGCACAGTGGACAGAAAAAGAGAAGAGACAAGAAAACAACTAAGTAGCAAGACGAGGCCGTGAAGCATACAAGAATGACCACTGGCCTTAGACTGTTAAGGACCGACTTACCCGTGCCTAGCCCTGAGCTCAAGAAATTGGAGAAGCCTAAGACCAAGACTGGGGAAGGCAGGCAAGAAACCTCACAGTGTGACCGCTGCAGCAAAAGAATCACATGGAAGGCGGAGCTCAGGAGTGGGCCCGTTAGCTACAGGCTGGAGGGTGAGAAGAGAGGACCTAGGAAGGGAAGCTGAACCTTTTTGTAGTAAGATTAAGAAAATGGCCAGATGTGGTGGCTCACACCTGTAATCCCAGCATTTTGGGAGGCTGAGGTGGGTGGATCACCTGAGGTCAGGAGTTCGGGACCAGCCTGGCTAACATGGTGAAACCCCATTTCTACTAAAAATACAAAAAATTAGCCGGGCGTGGTGGCGTGTACCTGTAATCCCAGCTGCCTGGGAGGCTGAAGCAGGAGAATCGCTTGAACCCAGAAGGCTGAGGCTGCAGTGAGCCAAGATCATGCCATTGCACTCCAGTTTGGGCAACAGGAGCGAAACTCCGCCTCAAAAAAAAAAAAAAAAAAAGAAAGAAAGAAAGAAAAAGAAAATGGGGCGGGCGCGGTGGTTCACTCCTGTAATCCCAGCACTTTGGGATGAGGAGGCCGGTGGGTCACCTGTGGTCAGGACTTCGAGACCAGCCTGGCTAATATGGTGAAACTGCATCTCTACTACAAAATACAGAAAATTGGCCGGGTGCGGTGGCTCACGCCTGTAATCCCAGCACTTTGGGAGGCCGAGACGGGCGGATCACGATGTCAGGAGATCGAGACCATCCTGACACGGTGAAAACCCGTCTTTATTAAAAAAATATATATATATATACAAAAAATTAGCCGGGTGTTGTGGCGGGCGCCTGTAGTCCCAGCTACTGGGGAGGCTGAGGCAGGAGAATGGCGTGAACCCGGGAGGCGGAGCTTGCAGTGAGCCGAGATAGCGCCACTGCACTCTAGCCTAGGCGACAGAGCCAGATGCCCTCTCAAAAAAAAAAAAAAAAATTAGCCCGGCATGGTGGTGCGCGCCTGTAATCCCAGCTACTCAGGAGGCTGAGGCAGGAGAATCGCTTGAACCCGGGAGGCAAAGGTTGCAGTGATTTCAGTGATCTGAGATTGCGCCACTGCACTTCAGCCTGGGCAACAGAGTGAGACTCTGCCAAAAAAAAAAAAAAAAAAGTGGCCAGGCGCGGTGGTTCACACCTGTAATCCCAGCAATTTGGGAGGCCGAGGTCAGGAGATCCAGACCATCCTGGCTAACATGGTGAAACCCCGTCTCTACTACAAATACAAAAAATTAGCTGGGCGTGGTGGCAAGTGCCTGGAGTCCCAGCTACTCGGGAGGCTGAGGCAGGAGGATGGCGTGAACCCAGGAGACGGAGCTTGCAGTGAGCTGAGATCGCGCCACTGCACTCCAGCCTGGGCGACGGTGCGAGACTCCGTCTCAAAAAAATAAAAAAGAAAGAAAAGAAAAGAAGAGAAAATGTGAGGATGTGAGGAGACCAGAGGTGGGAGCATTGCAGGGAAATGTACTCCTGGCTGTTGAAACAACAGCTACACTGGCAACAGCTCAACAGCTATGTGCTCTCCATCCCCATGGAGGAGAATTCGCAGATACCACGGAGCGATGCAGCTCATTGTCCTCTTCAGTTGAAGGATTTGTGCATGTAATTTTCTTTTTCTTTTTTTTTTTCTGAGATGGAGTCTTGCCCTGTTGTCCAGGCTGGAATCCAGTGGCGCTATCTCCGCTCACTGCAAGCTCCACCCCCCGGCTTCATGCCATCCTCCTGCCTCAGCCTCCCCAGTAGCTGGGACTACAGGCGCCTGCCACTATGCCTGGCTAATTCTTTTGTATTTTTAGTAGAGACGGGGTTTCACAGTGTTCGCCAGGATGGTCTCGATCTCCTGACCTCGTGATCTGACCGCCTCAGCCTCCCAAAGTGCTGGGATTACAGGCGTGAGCCACTGCGCCCAGCCTTTCTTTTTCTTTTTTGAGACAGGGTCCCACTCTGTCACCCAGGCTGGAGTGCAGTGGCACAATCTCAGCTCACTACAGCCTCCACCTTGAAGGCTCAAGTGATCCTCCCATCTCAACCTCCCACCTGTAGTTAACTGGCCCACTCCTGAGCTGGGACTACAGGCACATGCCACCATGCCCGGATAATTTTTTTGAACTTTTTGTAGAGAGGGGGTTTCACCCTAGTGAACTCCTGGGCTCAAGCCATTGCCCACCTTGGCCTTCCAAAGTGCTGGGATTACAGGTGTGAGCCACCAAGCCTGGCCATAATTTTCTGGTTATTTAAATATTTTTAAGTACTATAGATAACAAGGGCTCCAGGAATTCTAGTGAAAAGGCTTCCTTCTTTTTCTGTCGCTTCCTTTCCATTAGTTCCTGCTCACCTGAAGTGTTCTTTACCTGACTGTTTTGTTCATTACTTAAAAACAAAAACAGGCTGGGTGCAGTGGCTCATGTTTGTAATCTCAGCACTTTGGGAGGCCAAGGCAGGAGAATTGCTTGAGCTCAGGAGTTCAAGACCAGCCTGGGCAACATAATGAGACCCCGTCTTTTCAAAAAATACAAAAATTAACTGAAGATGGTGACATGCACCTGTAGTCCCAGCTACCTGGGAGGCTGAGGTGGGAGGATTGCTTGAGCCTAGGAGGTCAGGGCTGCAGTGAGTGGTGATTGTGCCCCTGCAGTTTAGCCTGAGTGACAGAGTGACACCCTGTCTCAAAAATAGAAATAAAAAACAGGCCGGGCGTGGTGGCTAACGCCTGTAATCCCAGCACTTTGGGAGGCCAAGGTGGGAGGATCACTTGAGGTCAGGAGTTCAAAACCAGCCTGATCAACATGGTGAAACCCCGCCTCTAATAAAAATATAAAAATTTAGCCGGGCATGGTGGCACATGCCTGTAATCCCAGCTACTGGGGATGCTGAGGCAGGAGAATTGCTTGAATCCGGGAGGCGGAGGTTGCAGTGAGCCGAGATCATGCCATTGCATTCCAGCCTGGGCAATAAGAGTGAAATTGCGTCTCAAAAAAGAAAACAAAACAAAACAAAATCCTGCTTTCTCGACTATTGCCCTGTACCTCTCCATTGTTTGAACAACAAATTTCCTGAAACCAGTCTTTGCTGTGTTTACTTCAACTTTCTTTCACAACCCACCAACCCAAATCTGGTTTCTGCCCCATCACTCCACTGCGACAGCTTCAGCAATGCCCCACTGTCCCTTCTCAGTTGAGACGTGCAGTGGATGGCTTTGGTTCCCTTTGGACTCCGTCAAATGAAGTGTTCCTGCCACAGCTTCCACAACCCAACCTTCCCTGTCACCTCACACCTCTCCTGTTATGCTTGTTCTCCTTCTCCAACCCCACTGTTTCCTAGGCCATGTTTTCCTGTCTTCTCTTTTTTTTTGTTTTTTTGAGATACAGTCTCACTCTGTCACCCAGGCTGGAGTGCAGTGGCACGATCTCAGCCCACTGCAACCTCTGCCTCCCGTGTTCAAGTGAATTTCCTGCCTCGGCCTCCTGAGATAGAGTAGCTGGGATTTCAGGCACGCCCAGCTAATTTTTGTATTTTTAGTAGAGATGGAGTTTCACCATGATGGCCAGGCTGGTCTCGAACTCCTGACCTCAAGTGATCACCCACCTCGGCCTCCCAAACTGCCAGGATTATAGATGTGAGCCATCGCACCCAGACAACCCTTCTTTAGATTGTTCTATCCATTTCCCTGGCTTCGGTGACCACTTTCTGATGGCTCTCAAATTTGTGTCTCCACTCCTGAGTCCCTCCCACCTTCTGCCAGATGCCCAAGTCAGGGAGTCTCTCCAGCCAACAGCTCCTCAGGCTTCTGGAATTTGATGCATCCAAGTCTAAGCTTCTCTTTTTCCTCCCTCCGTTCTCCCTCCTCACTGAGTTTACGTCATCACCACTTATCCACAGTCATTTTGCGTAGAACAGTCTCCCTGGAGGCCCAGGATTAGCACAATAAAGGTGAAGATTTGTGTGATCAAACTGAGATAATATTTGAACGATTGAAAAAATGGTGTCAGCTGAGTGCGGTGGCTCATGCCTGTAATCCCAAGACTTTTGGAGGCCAAGGTGGGAGGATCGCTTGAGCCCAAGAGTTTGAGATTAGCCTGGGCAACATAGCAAGACCCTGTCTCTACAAAAACTTAAAAAAAAAAATTAGCCAGATGTGGTGGTGCACCCTAGCTACTCAGGAGGCTGAGTTAGGAGGATCACTTGAGCCTGGGAAGTCCAAGCTGTGGTGGGCCCTCTTCACACCACTGCACTGTAGCCTGGGCAACAGAGCGAGACTCCGTCTCAAAAAAAAAAAAAAAAAAAAGAAAGAAAGAAAGAAACAAAAGAAAAGATGATGTCACCTCTATCCCCTGGTGCCATCTACTCCCAGAAACTTTTCACTCCAACTTTTTTGTTGCAGCCCAAATCAGAGTTTACCTCTTCTCTGTCCTAATAACTACTCTCTTATTTCCCAACAGCAACAGTGTTTCATACCCACACTGTCCATCTTATCCTCTCACATTTATTTATTTATTTATTTATTTATTTATTTATTTATTTATTTATTTATTTTTGAGACGGAGTCTCTCTCTGTCACCCAGGCTGGAGTGCAGTGGCGCGATCTTGGCTCACTGCAAGCTCTGCCTCCCGGGTTCACGCCATTCTCCTGCCTCAGCCTCCCGAGTAGCTGGGACTACAGGCGCCCGCCGCCACCACGCCCAGCTAATTTTTTGTATTTTTAGTAGAGACGGGGTTTCACTGTGTTAGCCAGGATGGTCTTGATCTCCTGACCTCGTGATCCGCCCGCCTCGGCCTCCCAAAGTGCTGGGATTACAGGCGTGAGCCACCGCGCCCGGCTGGCACATTTATTGATTGATTGATTGAGACAGAGTTTTGCTCTTGTTGCCCAGGCTGGAGTGCAGTGGCGCACTTTGGCTCACTGCAACCTCTGCCTCCTGGGTTCAAGTGATTCTCTTGCCTCAGCCTCGCAAGTAGCTGGGATTACAGGTGTGCACCACCATGCCTGGCTAATTTTTGTATCTTTAGTAGAGATGGGGTTTCGCCATGTTGGCCAGGCTGGCTTTAAACTCCTGACCTCAAGTGATCTGCCCACCTCGGCCTCCCAAAATGCTGGGATTACAGGCGTGAGCCACTGCGCTTGGCCACACATTTATTCTTTAGCTGCTCTTTCCACTGTCCTTCCCTCTTTGCAGGCTGGGCTAGCACTCTGTCAAAGCCTTGACATTTTCTCCAGCCTCTACCTCCTTGTCTTATCTGCTGTATGTTTTTGTGTGCATTTTCAATTTCCCTAAATAACATCTTGTTATAGATTTCGTTCTGATCTTATTTGCAGTTAGTACTATGTGGTTAAAATCCACCCATGCTCTATGATGATCAAAGCTATTGCTGCGCCATGCTCTGCAGTATGAGTTGTGCCACATTTTACCTGCTCACAGTTCCACTGAGGAGCACCCATGGCACCTCCAATTCTCAACCACAACAAATAATATGGCACTGAACTTTTTTTTTTCCAGACATGGTCTTGCTCTGTCACCCCAGCTGGGGTGCAGTGGCATGACCAGGGGTCACTCCAGTCTTGACCTCCTGTGCTCAAGTGATCCTCCCACCTCAGCCTCCTCACCTCAAGTGATCCGACTACAGGCTCATGCCACCATGCCTGACTAATTTTTGTATTTTTAGTAGAGACGGGGTTTCACCATGTTGGCCAGGCTGGTCTCAAACTCCCGACCTCAGGTGATCTGCCCACCTCGACCTCCCAAAGTGCTGGGATTACCGGTGTGAGCCACCGTGCCTGGCCGAATCATTTCTCTCTGTTTTGTTTTGTGTGTGTTTTTTTTTTTTTTTTGAGCCTCCCTAGCAGCTGAGATTACAGGCATGCGCCACCACACCTGGCTAATTTTTTTGTTTGTTTGTTTTCTTTTCTTTTTTTTTTTGAGGTGGAGTCTCACTCTGTCGCCCAGGCTGGCCTGAGTGCAGTGGTAGGATCTTGGCTCTCTGCAACCTCTGAAGCCCGAGTTCAAGCAATTCTCCTGCCTCAGCCTCCTGTGTAGCTGGGATTACAGGCACCTGCCACTGCGCCTAGCTAATTTTTGTATTTTTAGTAGAGATGGGGTTTCACCATTTTGGCCAGGCTGGTTTTGAACTCCTGACCTTGTGATCCACCTGCCTCAGCCTCCCAAAGTGCTGGGATTATAGGCGTGAGCCACCTTGCCCGGCCGAATTATTTCTCAAGGAGGAAACTTCTTTTTTTTTTTTTTTTTGAGACAGAGTCGCCCAGGCTGGAGTGCAGTGGTGCGATCTCAGCTCACTGCAACCTCCGCCTCCTGGGTTCAAGTGATTCTCCTGCCTCAGCCTCCTGAGTAGCTGTAACTACTGCCCGAGTAGCTGGAACTACTGGCACATGCCACCACGCCCGGCTAATTTTTTGTATTTTTAGTAGAAATGGGGTTTCACCGTGTTAGCCAGGATGGTCTCGATCTCCTGACCTTGTGATTCGCCCACCTCGGCCTCCCAAAGTGCTGGGTTTACAGGCGTGAGCCACCGCGCCCGGCCCAAGAAGGAAACTTCTATGTGAACAGAAGAGAAATGCTCAATATATAAATTAGAAAGAAGGTCAGGCTAAGTGTGGTGGCTCACGCCTGTAATCCCAGCACTTCGGGAGGCCGAGGAGGGTGCATCACGAGGTCAGGAGTTCAAGATCAGCCTAGCCAAGATGATGAAACCCCGTCTCTACTAAAAATAGACAAATTAGCCAGGCGTGGTGGCAGGTGCCTGTAATCCCAGCTACTCAGGAGGCCGAGGCAGGAGAATCGCTTGAACCCGAGAGGCGGAGGTTGCAGTGAGCTAGATCGTGCCACTGCACTCCAGCTCGAGTGACAGGGCAAGAATCCGTCTCAAAAAAAAAAAAAAGTAATAATGTTGCTTTGAACATTTATGTACAACATTTCTGTTTTTTTCTTTTCTTCTTTTTTTTTTTTTGACAGGGTTTTACTCTGTTACCCAGGCTGGAGTGCAGTGGTGTGATCACAGCTCACTACAGCCTTGAACTCCTAAGCTCAGGCAATCCTCCTGCTTCAGCCTCCCCAGTAGCTGGGACTACATGTACATATGACCACGCCTGGTTAATTTTTGTGTGTGTGTGATGGAGTTTTGCTCTTGTTGCCCAGGCTGGAGCACAACGGCATGATCTCGGCTCATTGCAACCTCTGCTTCAAGCTATTCTCCTGCCTCAGCCTCCTGAGTAGCTGGGATTACAGGCATGCGCCACCACACTAGGCTAATTTTGTATTTTTAGTAGAGATGGGGTTTCTCCATGTTGGTCAGGCTGGTCTCAAACTCCCGACCTCAGGTGATCCACCCGTCTCAGCCTCCCAAAGTGTTGGGATTGCAGGCGTGAGCCACTGCGCCCGGCTATTCTAGATGTTTTCTAAGAGTGGAATCATAGAATATGTGACCTTTTGCATCTTGACTTTTTTCACTTAGCATAATGTTTTCCAATATTCATCCAGTTATAGCACGTACTTCATCTCTTTTTATGGCTAAATAATATTCCACTGTATAGATATACCACATTTTAAAAATCCATTCATCTATTGACAGACATTTGGGTTCTTTCCACCTTTTTTGCTACTGTGAATAACTGCTGCTAATGAACACTCACATGCCCGGATTTGCTTTTTTTTTTTTTTGAGATGGAGTCTTGCTCTGTTGCCCAGGCTGGAGTGCAGTGGCGAGATCTCAGCTCACTGCAAGCTCCACCTCCCAGGTTTGCCATTCTCCTGCCTCAGCCTCCCAAATAGCTGGGATTACAGGCGCCCACAACCAGGCCCGGCTAATTTTTTTATTTTTAGTAGAGGCGGGGTGTCACCGTGTTAGCCAGGATGGTCTCCATCTCCCGACCTCATGAGCCGCCCGCCTCGGCCTCCCAAAGTGCTGGGATTACAGGCGTGAGCCACCGCACCCGGCCCGGATTTTCTTTGAGTACCTGTTTTTAATTCATTGGGAGTATATATACGTTGGAGTGGAATTGCTGGGTCACATGAACAATACATACTTTGCTTTGAGAAAAGCAGGTGTTGGACTTTTGAACAATGTACTCACAAAGTTGTTTGCGTTTTTTTGTTTTTGTTTTTGTTTTTTTTTTTTACAAAGGAAAGGGCATGAATTTCAGAAAATTGAGGGGAAGTAGCTGGGGGTTAGCATAACAGGCTACACAAATGTAGTAATTCAATCTAGTGTTTGCAGTTCACATGTATCGTGTCACAAGACTTTTTTTTTTTCTTTTTTAAGAAACAGGTTCTCTGTTGCCCAGGCTCAAGTGCAGTGGTGGGGATTATAGCTCAATGAAGCCTCGAACTCCTAGACTCAAGCTATCCCTCCACCTCAGCCTCCCAAGAAAGAGTAGCTAGGTCTACAGGCACCAGCCACTGAGCTGAGCTTTTCTTGTTTTTGTTTTTTTAATTTTTTATTTGTAGAGATGGGCCGTTGTTATGTTGCCCAGTCTGGTCTGTAACTGCTAGCCTCACGGGAGCCTCCCACCTTGACCTCCCAAAAAGCTAAGACTACAGGTATGAGCCACTATGCCCAACCCATGTTGCAGAATTTTTGCAACGTCCTGAAAAATTGGGAAGTTCAGGCATCATTATTATTCTCATTTTATGGGAAGAAAATTAAGGCAGAGCTATCTGAAGTAATTCCTTAAAGACACAAAAGAAGGATGAGATCCCAAGATCTTTGGTCGCTTGTTTCTGTCTTTTTTTTTTTTTTTTTTTTTTTGAGATGGCGTATTGCTCTGTCGTGCAGGCTGGAGTGCATTGGCGAGATCTCGGCTCACTGCAATCTCCACATTCTGGGTTCAAGCGATTCTCCTGCCTCAGCCTCCCGAGTAGCTGGGATTACAGGCACGCACCACCACGGCACGGCTAATTTTTGTATTTTTAGTGGGGACGGGGTTTCACCATGTTGGCCAGGTTGGTCTGGAACTCCTGACCCAAGTGATCTGCTCGCCTTGGCCTCCCAAAGTGCTGGGATTACAGGTGTGAGCCACTGCGCCTGGCCGCTTGTTTCAGTCTTGTTATCCAACAAGGCAGCCATGAAGGTAGTGCAAGAAACCCAGGAATTGGAAGAAGACTACGAAGTTTCAGGAAAAGCGAAATGGGGGGCGGAGAGAGGGAGGGCAAAGAAAATAAAGTTGGGAAGATAGCTCGTCTCCAGCTTCATGGTCTCCTATGATTAAGACAATGTCAATGTAATCTAACATACCACTTTTTTTTTTTTTTTTTTTTTTTTGAGACAGAGTCTCTCGCTGTGTCTCCTAGGCTGGAGTGCAGTGGTGCGATGTCGGCTAACTGCAACCTCCGCCTCCTGGGTTCAAGCGATTCTCCTGCCTCTGCCTCCCGAGTAGCTGGTACAGGCGCCCACCTCCACGCCCGGCTAATTTTTTTGTATTTTCAGTAGAGACGGGGGTTTCACTACGTTGGCCAGGCTGGTCTTGAACTCCTGACCTTGTGATCCGCCCGCCTCGGCCTCCCAAAGTGCTGGGATTACAGGCGTGAGCCACCGCTCCCGGCCTACCACTATTTTATTTTATTTATGTATTATTTATTTATGTTTTTGAGACTTGAGTTTCGCTCTTGTTACCCAGGCTGGAGTGCAATGGCGCAATCTCGGCTCACGGCAACCTCCACAGGAGAAGCGATTCTCCTGTCCCAGCCTCCCGAGTAGCTGGGATTACAGGCATGCGCCGCCACGCCCGGCTAATTTTGTATTTTTAGTAGAGACGGGGTTTCTCCATGTTGGTCAGGCTGGTCTCGAACTCCCGACCTCAGGTGATCCGCCCGCCTCGGCCTCCCAGAGTGCTGAGATTACAGGTGTCAGCCACCGCGCCCGGCCCACCACTCATTTTTATAGACAATTTTTTCTAAGGGACCTCGTAGACAATACTTTGGGGAACCGCAGAGCACAGTTGGGGAAAACACAGTAATACCATCTAAGTTTCTTTACTGAGGACCTCAGAGCCGAATGGCCTCTATGGATGCCATAGAGACCAATACGGACTGAGGGTTTAAAGAAGATGGTGTCCGCCGCAGGACCGCTCTATCTTCTCGGGTGAACTCTATGGCAGAGCATAGGCATTCGATTTAGAGAAGTGAAGCCGAGATGGGTGGGAACCCGACCACACTAGCGCGCTAGAAGAGTGGGGCGGAAAGACATCTCCCGCGCATGTGTGGAACTGGGGGGACTGATTCCAAGACAAGGCGCCCACCCCACAGAGCAAGTTTTCTGAAACGTGTGAGTCGTTTAAGTCCAGTTAAAGCCGAGGTGGGGCGTATCCTGAGACGCATGCGTTCTAGACGAGACAAGTGATCTAGCGGCGTGGTCTTTTCAACGCCTGGCGTACTGACGGCGTCTGAGGTGGAAGGGGTTGTTTAGGATTCCGAACACGCATGCGTTCTGAGACCCAGGCGTTTCCTTTAGAGGGTGTGGAGTGCAGGGCTCCTTATTGCGCAGGCGCAAGGACTGCCCGGTAGGACGAGCGGTCTATCAAGGGGAGGGAAGATGAGGTTGAAGAGATTAAAAAACCGGGTGCGCCTGCGCGTTGCAGATTAGTTGAAAACGCTCAGGGTTTGTGAGGGGCGGGGTCACGTATGCGCGTCATTGGACGGGTCGGTGGGAGGGAGGGTGGAGATGGGTAGGGTGTGTGCGCTTGCGCAGTGCGGGGGTGGAGGGCGGAGGAGATAGATAGCACGCTTGCGCGGCTGTCATAGGGCTGCTTGGTTGGTCAGTGGGGAGTCGGCGCCTGCGTACTAAGACCCGTGTGCAGCAGCGGCGGCGGCGGTAGAGGCGGCGGCGGCGGCGGCAGCGGGCTCGGAGGCAGCGGTTGGGCTCGCGGCGAGCGGACGGGGTCGAGTCAGTGCGTTCGCGCGAGGTGAGAGCGGGCAGGGCGCGTGTGCGCGGTACCTTGGCTTGGGCCCGGGAGAAGATGGAACTGCGCGGGGGTCGGGGAGGGGGCAGAGGGGAGCGGCGGCCGCCGCCGCACGGGTTCGGCCAGAGAGCGGCGCGAGGTGAGGAGAGGCGCGGGCGCGCGCCCCGGTTGGCGCGCGGGGTGACGGTTGGGGTTGGCCCGGTGACGTTGGAGCGACGCAGGGCGGGGGACGGCGAGCCGCGAGGCAGCCACGCGGGAGAGGCCGCCAGGCGGCCACGCCGGGGCGAGGGCCAGGGGCCAGATCGGCCCACCGGGGCAAGGGTACCTGGGCCGTTGAGGACCCGGCTCAGCGCGGCCACGTGAGGTGGGGGAGGGGGCTATTCGGTGAGAGGGCATGATGGGGGGGGTTGGCGGACGGCCGGGGGGAGGGGAGGCGGCGTGGCTCCGGCCTGGCGCAGTCTCTGAGGAGGGGGCGGCCGCGGCACCGGAAGTGCCCCCCACGGGAGGCTGCCCTCGGGGTCGCAGGCCGCATGGCCAAGCGTGGACCGGGGCCGCATGGCAGCGCGGGGACCCCTCCCCCCAGGTCCCGGCCACCGGAAGCCCGGAACGGCCACATGGTCGGCAGGAGCCGGCAGCCCCTAGCGCGGGGAGCTAGTCCTCGCGGGGGTTCCGAGGGGGCCTGAGATTTTGAGGAGTGGAAGCCGGAGGCTCGGGTCCTAATCACCCCGGAGGGCCTGCTGCAGGCATATGTTAGCGCTTCCCAACCTCAAGGGCCCCAGGAGCTTTCCTGAAAAACCCTCCTGTGAAGTGTGGCGGTCAGCCAGGTGTAAGTGGCACCCCTTCGAGCTGGGAGGCCGGAGAAATGGGGAAACAGGGCGTTTGGACAGGAGCCCAACTTTTCTGTCGGCCTGGGTGGACAGCGCCTAAAAGCCTCAGGCAGATGAGTTTCCCACCGTGATAGGCGTTCTTCACCTTGTCACTGTCTTCCTGTTGTAACTGGTTTGGGAGTTCCACGGTTTCGAAGTCCTTAACTCTACTAGCCTAGTATGATTTTCTACTACTCACTACTACCAACCTTTTGCTTTCATTTTATTGTCATTCACCACCCCCCACCTCTCCCACTTTCTACTGACTGTACTGGCCCGGCCTGAAAAGCCGACAGGACAGATGCATCCTGGGAAAAGTGGGAGGGCCTTCCAGGAGAGGCTGGGTTCCTGGGTTCTCTTTGGGAACCAAGATCGAGGTGTTTGGCAGGGGGATCATTTCGGAAACAACTTTGCTTTCTCCCCCTTGGCTTGTTGCAAGTGCATGTTGGCGAGGCGGGAATCCCCCAAAGAGGCCTTGTGGTTTCCTGTAGCAGTGACTGGTTTGTGTGTGGATGGGGGGGGGCAGTGTAACAGATGGGTGGGGCCTTGTCCTCCGGTCTCCACCCTCCCCCCCCCCAATTAGCCCTGCCCTTTTGCTGGATCATAGCTGCTCACCTAATTATAGCCCTGGCTATATGTGGGGAAGAGGGGTGGTTGGTTTCAGTGGCAAGTAACAC